>NW_009646209.1:0-101150 GCF_000001405.40 Homo sapiens
CACGGCCTCCAAATTTGCTGGGATTCCAGGCCTGAGCCAAGATACATATTTTTGAAATGAAAAAAAATTTCAAAGTTACTCTGCTTGGTACAATAATCAAATATATAAACTGAGGAATAAAACATAACCATGGAACATATTTATAGCTGCATATGGAAAATACAGAGGATAATTTTTTAAATAACATATTTTGAAAGCATTATCTAGTAATTTGAAGAGTTGACATTTGAAAGGCCAGTATGAATATAACTTCAAAGCAGCAACACAGGTTCCCCATGAGAAAAATCCAACTCAGGGAAAATAAAACCACAAAGGTTCACTCTGCTCTGACCTTTGAAAAACACAGCACAGACAGTGGCCCTTAGGACCAAGAGCAGCAGATCCCTAATCCCGTCAGCATGGCGATAGGGCATAAACATTGCAGGGTGAGGGCACAATCCACATTGTGAGGTCCAACTGCTGCCAGGAAGACAGGAGTGCTTATACATAGACCCAAAGGTCATTGAACGCTCAGTGTTTAGTTTTAAAAACTGAATCCGAAGCCCACACATTATTATGCTGCGCTTCTTAAAACAAGTTATGAGATGGGAAATAGGGCACCCACTAATATATCTATACATTATGTATATAATAATATATAGAATCATATATATAATATATGTAACATATATATAAAATACTGTGTTACATCCTGCATCTTATATTATATATATTATATGTAATATACTAACTGATAATATATAAGTATTCTATTTATACACTATGACATTTAATAATTATATTTTATGACATATATAATATATATTATATATCATATATAGAATATATTATATGGTTAATATACGTATTAAATATATAATATACATTATATATATTATATATATTATATCTACGGCATATATAACATTCATGATAGATAATATATATATTATATCCAGCTTAAATATAATATAAAATAACAAATAATAATATATAACTGTATATGTAAAATATGACATATAATATATATTTTATTTTATGACACATATATGATATATATGTTATATATAATACGTTGTATGTATAATACATATATTAAATATATAGTATATGTCTATGTCAGTAATTATATGTAATATATGTTATATATTACATATTTTACATAGAATACACGTTACGTAGAATATATACTGTTACATATAACGTAGAATATATTATATATAATATAATATATGTCATATATTATATATACTTTATAATATACAATATGTGGAATGTGATATATATAACATGTAATATATGATATATGATATACAATATATGATATATAACATACAATATATGATACGTAATATATATGGTATACAATATATGTTTTATTATACATATTACATGTGTTTTATATTATATTATTCATAACTATTTAAAATTATATATAACCGTATAATATTATACGTAAATATATAATATAATATATATAACCATATATTATGTTATAGATAATTTTATTACATACATTCCATAATATATCATAATATAATATATATTATAATATATTATTTAACATTACATTATATATATTATATATCACGTAATATAAGTTACATACATAATATTGAAATATATATTATATTATGATATATTAAATATCGTATATATTATGTATCCTACATTGTATAATATATATTATATATTATATAATATGTATGGTGTCTATTATATGATATATATAATTATATATATAATTATAGTATACATATAATGATATAAATATGTAATTATATTTATCATTATTTATATTATATATAATTATATAATCATATATAATAATTTATATTATATAAATAATTATATCATTATATAAATTATAGTATATATAAATTATAATATGTAATAAATAATATATAGTATATATCATATATGATATAGTATATGTTATATATCATATTATATATCAATTTATTTTGTGTTATCTATAATTATATATTTTCATATAGAAGATGTATAATATGAATTATATATTATATATTATGAAATATATATCATATATATAATATGACATAGGATTAATGTTATATATTATGACTTATAATATATATGCGGTTATATATTACATATAAAACATATTACATAACATATAATATATATCATATATAATTTTTTTTTAGACAGAGTCTTGTCCTGTTTCACAGGGTGGAGTACAATGGCGCCATCTTTGCTCACTGCAACATCTGCCTCATGGGTTCAAGCGATTGTGCCCCGTCAGCCTCCCAGGTAGCTGGGAGTACACCACACTGGGACTACACCAGCTGCCACCATGCCTAGCTATTTTTTTGTATTTTTAGTAGTGACAGCGTTTCACTGCATCGGCCAGGATGGTCTTGATCTCTTCACCTTGTGATCCCCTTACCTTGGCCTCCAAATTGGTGGGATTACAGGCCTGAGCCAAGATACGTATTTTTTAAATGAAAACAAATTTCAAAGGTACTCTGCTTGGTACAATAATCAAATATATAAACTGAGGAATAAAACATAACCATGGAACATATTTATAACTGCATATGGAAAATACAGAGGATAACTTTTTAAATAACATATTTTGAAAGCTTTAACTAGTAATTTGAAGAGTTGGCATTTGAAAGGCCAGTATGAATATACCTTCAAAGCAGCAACACAGGTTCCCCATGAGAAAAATCAAACTCAGGGAAAATAAAACCACAAAGGTTCACTCTGTTCTGACCTTTGAAAAACACAGCACAGACAGTGGCCCTTAGGACCAAAAGCAGGAGATTCCTAATCCCGTCACCATGGCGATAGGACATAAACATTGCAGGTTGAGGGCACAATCCACACTGTGAGGTCCTACTGCTGCCAGGAAGACAGGAGTGCTTTTACATAGACCCAAAGGTCATTGAAGGCTCAGCGTTTTGTTTCAAAAACTGAATCCCAAGCCCACACATTATTATGCTGCGCTTCTTAAAACAAGTTATGAGATGGGAAATAGGGCACCCACAGATATATCTATACATTATGTATATAATAATATATAGAATCATAGATATATGGAACATATATATATAATATTGTTTTACATCCTGCATCTTATATTATATATATTATATGTATTATAATAATTGATAATATATAAGTATTATATTTATACAATATGACATATAATAATTATATTTTATGACATATATAATATATATTATATATCATATATAGAATATATTATATGGTTAATATACGTATTAAATATATAATATACATTATATATATTATATATATTATATCTACATTATATATAACATTCATTATAGATAATATATATATTATATCTAGTTTATATATAATATAAAATTACATATCATAATATATAATTGTATATATAAAATATGACCTATAATACATATTATATTTTATGACACATATATGATATATATTATATATAATACGTTGTATGTATAATACATATATTAAATATACATTATATGTCTATGTTATTAATTATATGTAATATATGTTATATATTACATATTTTACATAGAATACACATGTTACATAGAATATATACTATGTTACATGTAACTCTCCACTGATTTATTTGGAGAAGGGACGTTCTCTTCTATCTTGATTGAACGTGACATTAGATGTGTTTTGCAAAATTACCTGTCCCAGATATTGGTCCCCCCTTTATTTCTGTGGCTGTATTTGAAACAGAATATTTCTCATTACTTGTAGCCTGAATGAGATTTGAAAACAAAATAATACGTAAAGTAGGTTTCATAGACTATACAGTTAATAGTTCAACAGATAAATGAGACTTTAATTGCCTTCTCAGCTGGTTGTTTCTGAGAAGACACTGAAAAGCAAAAGGGTTACATAATCAATCATATGTAAATATGATAATGTTATCCATACATTAATGGATGGATAGCATGTTAGCATCAAGTTTTATACTCCTGCCTGTATTACTGTAGGCTTTGATATTTTATACTTTGTTTCTTTGGACTAAACATGAAGGAAATACACTGAAGAAAATAGGAATACAGGCTTCAAGAAATATATACTGACAATTTCAAATGTGATATAACTTTCTCCATATGTCTAAAACTAAAATAAAACCATGTCAATATCAATGTGGATATGCTGATTGTTGAGGACAAATGTGATCTAAAATCAGAGTCCAACTCATACACCTGGGAATCAACGTCAAAGCCGGTGATACATGCACCCGCGTGTCTTTCATGCAAGATATCAGAATGATTTGGAACATTTTACTGCAAACATTCATCATGCTCTTTAACTTGATCAATCAGTGAGAAGGTACACAATTATAATGACACTTTAGTTGAATGTACACTTCACATCTCTTCAGTGGAAGTGTCCTAACTTAATCAGCTTGGATATATGTTTGGTGAATTATAGTATGTAATGTTCATTATTTCTCACACCCATATGGTGTAATAATGTGCCTACATCTCTTGCATCTTCTAGTTTAGCCTTCCGAAATCTTCATCCACTCATGGCAACAAGGTATAATATATAAACTTCATCAAAAAGTATAATAAATTACCAAATTTGACATACTTATACAAAATAAAATTGCTACAAGCATTAGATATGAATAAGCTTTTACATCTGGAAATCACGCCAATATTCCTTGAAAATAACCATTTGGGAGTCAAGTAATGAATTCAACATTATTTTCACTTCTAAAATAGTCTGGTTAAATTATCATGTTATTCTCTAGAGAATTTTTATTAAGTTGCTATTTTATCCAATAGCTCCTTGAAAAACAAAGCCAATGTATGCATATTCACGTTTATCTCATTTGAATAACCAATATCAACAAAACATATACCTCTGGTGCCCAATAGTAACAAAGAAGAATAATGAGTTACTGTGGTTTATCCCAACTCTATCACTGTTTCCTGCTTCCAGTAGTTCCTGGAACAGCCAAAAATCAAATCATCCTTTATGCAAATATTCTGAATGCATCTGAAGTGAGTTCACTTAATCTAAGAGTTATAATTTAAAAAATCATTTTGTTTATGCTCATGAAGACTCCTGATGTTTTTACATTTCCTGGATTCAGCAGTTCGGCCTTCTCACCGTCTCTTCGTCCACTTTTGCAAAAACATACACATCAGTGAAATAATGTGTAATCAGATTCCTATGAAAATAAACTAAACAAAGTTTCTAAATCACTAGAGACTTCTTTTCTTATAAATAACCAACCAATACGACATAATACATATATATACATATGTCATGATTGTCACCATTATTGGCAGTTATCTGTTTAGTACTCTAAAAATGCATTCTTTGATTCCTTTTTTCTAAATCTAGTTTCACATGATATACCATAGGGGTCTCTCCGGTTCTTTTACAAAATAACTACACCAGCAAACACAGCTTTCCAAAAAAGAAAAACTGATGTGAACGAAGCATGTATCATTGATATGCAAAACTTCTAGGGAGAAGAAATGAGATCCTGTGGGTCACCCTCATCCTTCTAACCTCTGCTTTCCATTAAGTGACTTCCCACAAATCTCCTCATCAGAAACCTCCAAATTACCTAGCTAGCTGCTTTCTTTGTTTACACCTGCCCAATTTGACATACACTCTTTTTCGTTCATAAATCTAATATCCATATTGGTGGACTTGATTCTTTGACCTCTACATTCGTTTCTTCATTATTTTCACCACCACTGTAATGTGACATCTGTACAATCCTATTCTGACACATCTGAAGATAAGGTTTTGCTTTATTAAAATGTTAAATGTGACAAGACACTTGACTAACGTGTACAAATTCCTTCTTCACAAAAGCAGCCCCATGGCCTCCTATCTCCCATAGACACGTTCACAGCTGTTCTTAACTACCCATAACACCACTATGTCTATGCTTTCCAGAGAAACAAGCTCTGAAATTTTATTGAATATAACCTATTTAAAAACTTCTTTAACTACAATGACGGTCTCTCCTTGATGCACCAAATCTTCAGAAATAACTTGTGAAGGCTTGAAAATATGTCAGTAATTGACATGAAAAATGAAGCTTGATGTAATTTTTTGCAGGTATAAAAAAGACAAGCTGAGATCCTTACTAGATCCAGGAAGAGCAAAGTACATTAGACAGGAAATAAATATGGAACAGAAACATTTTCATTTGTAATGAAAATTCCTCTATTTACAGTTTTCAAAAGAGAAGAAAATACACACACATACACACACACACACTCACACACAAAAACCAGAGCAATATGGCTTTACAGGGTGTTTCTTCATCAAAGACCTATTTGTCATTTGATATCTGGGAACACTCTATAGGGATCAACAAAGGGGTTCTAAATTGTGACCTGAGTAGTTTAGAGTTTAACATTCATGAAGGGGAGCCAAGAGGACAAGTAACACTTTGACCATTGGCCATTTCCACTCCTTACTGCTATTCTCTGAAAAGCACACACTGGATTTTCTCAGAGTTAGGACATGTCAAACAGACATGCTTTAAGGGGGAAACAGTTGCAATTAACACAGCCATGGGAGAGATACAGCTATGCTTGCTAGGATTTCCAATACTTCTGTTTCATTTCTAATATAGTACAAATCAATAAAACCAACCACGTAAGCATATCCATGCTGGTATGTCATCATATTTAAGTCCATATGGTATCAGCATGAAGAGAGCATAATATGCTGTAGTCATCACATGGCATATCATGAGATCATACAATAAATCAAGAAATACCTCACTGGGTCAAGGTGGATAGATCTGAAATATATATCACTGATTTTACAAAGACCAAGTTGCATTCAATAAGTGCACTGCCTGAACTTTTCTACAAGTTTTTAATACACAAAATCAAGTTCTACAAGTTATCTATGAATGTGCACATATGTTGTAAGAGGTTTTTAATGTGCATTTGGGTGATTTCTTTTTAATTAATTCAAGCTCTTGGTTACATGTTGGCAGTAAGCTTTAGTATTATAGAAAACCCAAAACAGTAACAGGTCAGAATCACCGTCTTAAAAGGCTGTCTACCAAAGAGTCAGGAAAGCATGACTACTTACTTTCTTCATTTTTGAAACTCAGACGTACCTCATTGCACACTTCCAAATAAAACTGCACAAGTTCCTTAGTTGAATTAGATCCCGTTAGTCAATTTTGTCTTTTGTTGCCATTGCTTTTGGTGTTTTAGTCATGAAGTCTTTGCCCATGCCAATGTCCTGAATGGTATTGCCTAGGTTGTCTTCTAGGGTTATTATGGTTTTAGGTCTTACTTAAACATTTAAGTCTTTAATTTATCTTGAGTTAATTTTTGTATAAGGTGTAAGGAAGGGTTCCAGTTTCAGTTTCCTGCATAAGGCTAGCCAGTTTTCCCAACACCATTTATTAAATAGGTAATCTTTTCCCCATTGATTATTTTTTGTCAGGTCTGTCAAAGATCATATGGTTGTAGATGTATGGTGTTACTTCTGAGGTCTCTGTTCTGTTCAATTGGTCTATATCCCTGTTTTGGTACCTACACCATGTTGTTTTCATTACTATAGCCTTGCAGTATAGTTTGAAGTCAGGCAGCGTGATGCCTCCAGCTCTGTTCTTTTTGGTTATAATTGTCTCGGCTATATGAGCTCTTTTTTGGTTCCATATGAAATTTCCAGTAGTTTTTTTCTAATTCTGTGAAGAAAGTCAATGGTAGTCTATAGCACTGAACCTATAAATTACTTTGGGCAGTACAGACATTTTCATGATATTGCTTCTTCCTATCCATGAGCATGGAATATTTTTCCATTTGTTTGTGTCCTCTCTTATATCCTTGAGCAGTGGTTTGTAGTTCTCCTTGAAGAGGTCTTTCCCATCCCTTGTGAGTTGTATTCCTAGGTATTTTATTCTCTTTGTAGCAACTGTGAATGGGCATTCACTCATGATTTGGCTGTTTGTCTTTTATCGTTGTATAGGAATGATTGTGATTTTTGCACACTGATTTTGTATCCTGAGACTTTGCTGATGTTGCTTATCAGCTGAAGGAGATTTGGGGCTGAGACCTTTTGGTTTCCTAAATATACAATCATATCATCTGCAGAGACAATTTGACTTCCTTTTTTCCTATTTGAATACCCCTTATTTTTTCCTCTTGTCTGATTGCCCTGGCCAGAACTTCCAATACCATTATCAGAGTGAACAGGCAACCCACAGAACAGGAGAAAATGTTTGCAATCTCTCCATCTGACAAAAGGCTAATATCCAGAATCTAAAAGGAACTTAAACAAATTTATGAGAAAAGAACAAACAACCTCATCAAAAAGTGGGTGAAGGATATGCTCAAAAGAAGACATCTATTCAGCCAGTAAACATATGAAAAAAAGGCTCATCATCACTGAACATTAGAGAAATGCAAATCAAAACCACAATGAGATACCATCTCACGCCAGTTAGAACGGTGATCATTAAAAAGTCAGGAAACAACAGATGCTGGAGAGGATGTGGAGAAATAGGAACACTTTTATATTGTTGGTGGGAGTGTCAATTATTTCAACCACTGTGGAAGACAGTGTGGTGATTCTTCAAGGATCTAGAACCAGAAATACTATTTGACCCAGCAATCCCATTACTGAATACATACCCCAAAGATTAAAAATCATTCTACTCTAAAGACACATGCACATGTATGTATATTGCAGCACTATTCACAATAGCAAAGACTTGGACCCAACCTGCATGCCCATCAGTGATAGGCTGGACAAAGAAAATGTGGCATATACACATCATGGAATACTATGCAGCCATAAAAAAGGATGAGTTCATGTCCTTTGCAAAGACATGGATGAAGCCTGAAACCATCATTCTCAGCAAACTAACACAGGAAAAGAAAACCAAACGCCACATTTTCTCACTCGTAAGTGGGAGTTGAACAAAGAGAACACATGGACACAGGGAGGGGAACATCACACACCGGGGCCTGTCAGGGGGTTGGGGTCCTAGGGGAGGGATAGTATTAGTAGAAATACCTAATGTAGCTGATGGGTTGATGGGTACAGTAAACCACGATGGCACATGTATGCCTATGTAAAAAACCTGCATGTTCTTCACATGTATCCCTGAACTTATGGTATAATACAAAACAAACAAACCAACATTAATTCAGGTTGTTGGTTACCTGTAGGCAATGAATTGTAGTAGTAGAAAAGATTCTAAGGCTAAAACAGCTCAGAATCATTGCTTTAAAACCCTGTATCTACCAAAGAGTCACCAAAAAATGATTAATGACTTTATTCATTTTCCAGAATCAGAGGTATCACACACACCCAAACTCACAAACAAAAGCACACACGCACATACACATGCAGAAATTCAAAAGCTGGTAATCAGAGCATGTGACTGGGTGAGGATTTGAAGGTTCTCAGTGTGGCAACACCGACATAAAGAAGTTGAAGTTCTAACACAATTGTAATGTCAGCTGGTATAGCTTTTCTCTAGGTAAAGGACAGTATTGCAACCAGAAATTGAAACACTGAAAAATATTTATAGTTTCAAAATTCACCTCCTTGAACCCCTAACATGCATACAAATTCCACATTGGATATTTATCACAACCTAAAAGGAAAAGCATCGGAGCTAGAGCTCACATTTTAAACATTTCTTTTCCTTGTTCTTCTAAATATCATTTTATAATCATAGACACTAACAACAGCATCAGCATCATTTAGATCAAATCCTTCTATCTTACTGGGGTAAAAGAAATAAGAATCAGAAGACTATGAACATTTCCAATATATTCATGTCCTTCTTTCCAGATGAAATTTGTATTGGCAAATTTACCTTTTCCTGGAGGTGGTGAATCCTTCCTTCTCATAGCTACTTTTGAACTGGGATCTGCCTCTTTCAGAGTAAGCTGAATGGGTTTTACAACATAATGATTAATTGATTAATATATCATGTATATATCACAAAGCATTTTGTTAATTAAAAACGAAAATATATTTGTTTACTGTGGATAAAGGAGGTCGCTCAGAAGATTCTACAAAGCAAAAGGGACACATAATTAAGTTTTCATAAAACATGTAGTCCAGTTTTCAAGAGAGAGATTAGGTTTCACATGACTACAACTAACACAAGGAAGTACTTCTACCAATGTGATTCTCTTAACTGAAGCCAAAAAATGTGATGTCAAATGAAAGGACCCCAGAAGGATAAATGTCAAAGCCCATGGTAGAACGCTATGGTGTACCCTGAAGAAATCACCCAAGAACCATTTATACTACAATACTACAATAGTTTTCCTGTTCTTCATTTTGTCCTCTCACTTAAAAACTATCAATTTCATTAAAATGTATCATTCCCTTCTGCTTGCAGGATGTATTCTCAATTCATTAGTTCAGATATCTACATACAGAAGCATAGTTAATAAAAATACTCATGTTGTCCACAGTCATGCAGACTTCTGGTGTTTTTCCATTTCCTGGATTCTCAACTATAGCCCTCCTGCCATCTCTTCATTCACTTATGCAAGAAATGTATACATTACACTCCAAATACCTAATATGTAATTAGATTCCCATAAAACAAATCTAACCAAAGTATTTGAAATATCAGAGGCTTTTTTCGTGTTAATCACCTTTTATATATCAAAATATTTGCCATGATCATTGACAGTTACATTTTAACAAACCTGCACGTTGTGCACATGTACCCTAAAACTTAAAGTATAATAACAATAAATAAATAAATAATACTTAAGAAATTTATTTCTTGATTGTTTTGCTTCCACAGTTTGACATGCACTGCATCGCATTTTGCTAACATGAAGCACCTATCCTATTGTCGATGTGTTACCCCTACAGAGAGAAGAATTGAGTCCCTGTGGTTTACTCATTCTTCCACCTCTGCTTCCATTAAGCTCTGAAGCAACAATAATCCAATATTCTGTTCGACTGCGAATATACCAGGTCCACATAAAGTGAGTTTTCTCAGGTTTCCTCATCAGAAACCCCCAAACACCTAGCCAGCTGCTATCTTTATTTACAACATCCCACCCCACTTGCACTCTTTTTTGTTGATAAATCTAATCTCACTATCTGGTCTTCATTCTTTGCCTTCCACATTTTGTTCTTCATTATTCTCACCACCCTTGTGATCAAACCAGTAAAATCCCATTTTTATAAATATGAAGATATGGTTTTCCTTTATTAGAATATAAAAGTTACAGAAAATGGACTAACTTGTACAAATTCCTTCTTCACAATAGCAGCCCCATGTCCTCCTCTCTCCCCTAGACACAGTTTCATAGTTTGTATTCACTCACATCAGTTTCATTGAGTATCAACTCTCATTTCATCTTTACGGCTTTATTTTACACTGGGGGTTATTATCAAAGACTCAGCAAACTATGTTACATATTTTCTTCTACACAAGAGATTACTGAGCAGTAAATAAGAATTTCTTTGGATATAAACACTTTTAAGTACACACATTTTTGTGAAGCTAATTTATGGTTAAATACACATTACACCATTATGTGTTATGTGTTCCACAGAAACAGGCTCTAAAATTTTATTAAACATATTTAATTTAAAAACTTCTGCAATTACAATGACATAGTCTCTGCTCAATGCAGCAACGTCTTCAAAAATCACTTGTGAAGAGTTGGGAAAATGTCAGTCCTTTACGTGAAAAATGAGAGCATTAAGTGACAACACTGCTTGCTGGTATAAATAAGACAAGGCTATATCCTCACCAGATTCAAAGATATCAGAGTGCCATGGACAGAAACAAATATGTAAAACAGAAAGATTTTCATTTCTACCAAAAATTCGTGTATTTAAAGTTTTCAGAAAAGGACAAAATATAGGAAAACACAGCGGTGGGGTGTTATAGAGCATTTCTTCATCTGGAGACTATTTATCATTTGATATCCGGAAACCCTTTATAGGGCCCAACAAAGGGGTTCTAAACTGTGATTTGATCATTCTTGGAGTTCAACATCTATGTAAGGAAGCCAAGGTACCAAATGATACTTTGGCCATTTCTTCTTTCCAAAGTCATTCTCTGAAAAGCATACACTAGAGTTTTTCAGAGTCATCACATGATGGAAAAACATGACTCTAAGGGGTAATGAATGTATTCAATACAGCTATGGCAGTGTATACAGCTATACTCAGGGTATGTGAAATACTTCTATTTAATTTCTTATATAGTACAAATCAATAAAGACAACCACATAAGCAAATCTATGTTGGCATGTCATCATATTTATGTTCATTTTGTATCAGCATGAAGAGACTTTAATTAATTGTGGTGCAGTCATAAAATGGCATACCACAAGAACATACAACAAATCAAAGATGAACAAATTGTGTCAACCTGGATAGATCCAAAATATATACCACTGATTAGGAAAGCCGAGTTGCAGCTATTATGTACGCTGTGTGAAATCATATAGAAGACTTGATACTTGGAAACAGATTCTACATATTACCTATGAAAGTGCAAGTATCTTGTAAAGTATTTTTAATGTGCATTGCAGTGACTTAAAAGTAAAAAACATTAATTCAGGCTGTTGGTTACCTGTAGGCAATAAATTGTAGTAGAAGAAAATATTCTAAGGCCAAAACAGCTCAGAATCATTGTTTTAAAACACTGTATCTACCAAAGAGTTACAAAAGAATGATTAATCATTTTATTCATTCTTAATCTGAGATGCACACACACATACACATGCAGAAACTCAATCTGGTAATCAGAAGATGTGATTAAGTAAAGATTCTCAACGTAACAACACTGACATAAAGGAGTTGAAGTTCTAAAACAATTGTAACGTCAGCAGGTATAGATTTTCTCTAGGTGAAGAAGAGAGAAGAGTATTGCAATCAATTTTGAAGCACTGAAAATACTTAGTGTCAAAATACACCTCCTCAAATCCCTAACATGCACAGGAATTCAAAACTGGGATCTTCAGATGATGACAACTTTAAAGGAAAAGCATTTGGGCTAGAGCTCATGGTGTAAAATGTCCGCCTTATGCCTTAAATATCATTTTATAAACAAAGATATTAACAAGAACATCAGCATATTTACATCAAATCCTTCCATCTCATTTGGATAAAAAGTGGGAATCAAAAAACTATGAGCATTTTCAATATTTTCATCTACATTTTCCAGAATGAAATTTGTAGTGGCAAATTTATCTTCACTGGAAGTTGGTGAATCCATACTTCCTAAGAATCTAGTTGAAATGTGATCTCTGTCTTTCACCGTATGCTGAATGGGTTTGACAACATAATGATTAAGATATCATGTATATATCACAGAGCATTTTGTTAATAATTAAAGAAAATATGCTTACAGTGAATAAAGGCGGTTACTCAGGAGACACTACAAAACAAAAGGAACACAAAATTGACTACAGGGAAATATGACACAGCCTACCATCAATCATGCAGTGTTTGTATCCAGCTGAAATCTTCGTCCTTGCCCTTGAAATTGTTACCCATTAGGCTTTGGGTTGCTTTGCTCTTGTTTTGGTTAACACACAAACGTGACAGGAATATACACATGAAAAATCACAATATAGATTCTATAAAACATGCAGTCCAGATTGCAAGGGTGAGATTAGGTTTCACATAACTACAAGTAACATAGAAAAGTGTTTCTACGAATGTGAATCTGCTGGATGAAGCCAAAAAAAGTGACGTCAAATGAGAGAACCAAAGCGGACCCCAGAAGAATAAATGTTAGAAACTATGAAGTTGCAATGAGAGAGCATGAAAATGTATTATTCGCGGCCGGGCGCGGTGGCTCACGCCTGTAATCCCAGCACTTTGGGAGGCCGAGGCGGGCAGATCACGAAGTCAGGAGATCGATACCATCCTGGCTAACACCGTGAAACCCCATCTCTACTAAAAATGCATAAAAGTATCTGGGCTTGGTAGCAGGCGCCTGTAGCCCCAGCTACTCAGGAGGCTGAGGCAGGATAATGGCGAGAACCCGGGAGGCGGAGTTGGCAGTGAGCTGAGATCCCGCAACTGCACTCAAGCCTGGGTGACAGAGCGAGACTCCGTCTCAAAAAAAAAAGAAAAGAAAATGTATCATTCGCTTCTGCTGGCAGGAAATGCTCTCAATCATTAGTTTAGATATCTACTTGGAGAAAAATCGTTTCTAAAAATACTCATGTTATCCACAGTCATGAAGACTTCTGATATTTTCAACTTCTGGATTCTCAACTTTAGTTCTCTTGCCATCTTTTCATTCCCTTATGCAAAAAAAGTATATGTTACACATTAAATAAGTAATGAGTACTCAGATTTTCATTTACAAAATGTAACCAAAAATCTCTGAATCACCATTGACTTTTTTTTCATACTAATCAATTTTCTTTTTTGACATGGAGTCTTGCTCTGTTACCTAGGCTGGAGTGCAGTGGCACAATCTCGGCTCACAGCAACCTCCGCCGCCCGGGTTCAAGTGATTCTCCTGCCTCAGGCTCCCTAGTAGCTGGGACTACAGGCACATGCCACCACGCCTGGCTAATTTTTTGTATTTTTAGTAGAGATGGGGTTTCACCATGTTAGCCAGGATGGTCTCCATCTCCTGACCTCGTGATCCTCCCGCCTCAGCCTCCCAAAGTGCTGGGATTACAGCCGTGAGTCACCGCGCCCGGCTTAATCAACTTTTACATATCAAAATATTTGCCATGATTATTGACAGTTACACTTTTAGTACTAAAGAAATAAATTTCTCTTTTGTTTTTTTTCTAGTCAGTTTGATATGCTATAGCATAGCAGCCTCTGAGGTACTTTTATACAATGGCTATTTCATCAAAAACAGCATTGTTTTAAAGAAAACTGCCAATGTTTTGATATCCAAGTGCATCCCAGTTCACTAACAAACATGAATGAAGCACATATCATTGATGTGTAACCCCTATAGAGAGAAGAAATGAGTTTCTGTGGTTTCCTGTCATTCTTCTACCCTCTGCCTCCAGTAAGCTCCAAAGCAGCAATCATTTAATCTTCTCTTTGAGTGGGAATATACTGAGTCTACATAAAGTGAGTTCCCTTAAGTTTCCTCATCAGAAACCTCCAAATACCTAGCCAGCTGCTTTCTTAATTTACACAATCCCACCTCACATTTTTTTGTAAATACACTAATGTCCATTTCTCAACAATGAATATTATATTTTGATCTATAAATTTAAGTGTTCACCAAAGTTTTAAGAAAAAGTATGTTTAAATTAAATTATATTTACTATTAAAATTAATAAATTATAACTATAATTTAATTAAAATTAGGCTTATAATTTAATGTAATTTAACAATTAATTTAATTTTAAATTTATTTTAAATTATATTTAAATTAGTTATATTTATTTTCAAAAATTATATTATTAAAGCATAGAAAATTATTCAGCTATATTCACTACCTCACCATCTTTTATTGTACACAAAATACAACATTATCATTATTTGATTGCTCTCATGGAGCACTTTTTATAATACCAATACCATTTGCTTTTTGTCCAGTTGCTGGTAGTGCTTTTCTTTCCTATTAAAAAAAAAAAAGAAATCTTCAGAAAATGTCATATTTACTACTTAATCAGTCAGTAATTCAAGAAACATTTTCCGTGTCTATAAATTCATAAGATCTATACTGGAAAATCTGATAATATGAATAAAATACAAATTGTATTTATTTATCAAGTGAAAAAAGAAATTTATAAAAACAAACAAAAGCAGAAAGACACAATTCATTATTTCTACAATTCAAATCAATAAAATACAGTGATAGCACAAAGGCAATAACACTTAATTCTACTTGGGAAGCTTCTGAGAAACTGCAAATTTAGGGTTCTATTTTTAAAGTAGACAAGGGAAGAGTAAGAGTGTGAAGTGTTTCTAGTGAGGGCAGCATGTGCAAAAAAATAAAGCATGAAACAGCATAGCCAATAAGAAATACCACAATAACGTGGTAAAACTTGGACACAGACAGAGAAAGTGAAGTGGAGAGATAAAATGGGAGAAACAGGCCAAACCACAAAATAAGTGTTATGCTAGAATGTAAATGTTTGTTTCATGTAATGAGGGTCCAGCCATAAACAGATGACTTAGATCAAAGTAAACATGTTTAAGAAAGGTCACCCTGAAAGACATATATAGATAGATAAACATGGGGAGAAGAAAGAAACAAAAACGAACATTCCAAAAGTATAGGGCCGACAGTGTATTACAGTAATAAGATATGAGAAATGGTTAAAGGTAGAAAATACAAAAATTGGTGAGTCACTGGATTGGCAATGTGAGGGAAACCTGGAGTGCAGTTTTTGTGCTTCAATGTTTCATTGCTACCTTCTTGGTGTTATTTACTAAAATTGAGAAGTGAGATGACAGCATAGATTACAAAGAGTCAGGAAAGAATCTGGAAGGCAGTTTGAGACCTATTAAATTTGAGGCACAAAGGGGACTTAGAAGACTGATCTGGGTAAATACATTTGGAGTAGAAATAGATGACCTCACTCAAAAAAACCATATGTTGTTGAGAAGGTCAACATTTGTAAAGTATACTGAACTGGTAGGATTCAATAATTTAAACCTATGTAGAACCCTGAAGTTTTGAAAATAAAAAGAAAACATGGGATTCAAAATTTCAATTATATATTTCTATACTGGATTAAAAGATATAAAATATATTTTCTAAATGTATGCAGATATTTATTTCTGGAATATTATGGTCATCTGCATTTTTGAACTTCATGAAAACAGTTATCTAAACCAGTAAGTCAAGGTGTCCTAAGAAAGCTCATTTTCAAAAAATCATCTTAAAAGTTTTTAACTTGCACAAATGTTTATTCTATTATAGAATTATAAGGCATTTTAAGTGCTACTAACATATAAGAGAGAAATGCAAAATCTATTTTAAAGTTCATATGGTTTTCTGATTCTCCTGAAATGATATACTAATAGCTCTAATTGCCTACTTATGCCATAAAGATAATAGTTAAAAATCAGAGAAAGGATCAAGTAAAATAATCATATGACTATGCAAGCTGAAGACTTACTTGTCTTCAAATACACTATGCCTGTCAATCATGACCCAATACTCACATGAAGAGAGAAGAAATTTATTTTAAACATCAAGTCAAAAGGATTCCTGAGTTTTAGAGCTGAATAAATTTATGTGCAAGGTATAACTATAAATACTAAAGTTAATAATGTTTCCAGAGAATAATACAAAATGTCCCAACTGTAGGAGATAGTTTTAAAAGTAAAAAGTAATATTCCAGAGATAATTCTGTGTACTGTTGGCAATATTTCTTTCCTTACGATTCTATCAAAATAGGTACTTTGTTTAGAAAACAATCATGAGTGTTGACTGCATTCATCACATGTATGTTCTTAAGTACAGACGTTATCAGCACAAGGTTAGTCAGACTAGCTCCAGAAATAAGTAATAATTTATTTCTTTAAGAGGGTTCCAGGTTAAAAAGATATTATTTCTCATTCAATGAACATAAATTAGAAACCTCCTTTAAAATTAACCAGAAATGGCTAGGTGTGGTGGCTCACGCCTGTAATCCCAGCACTTTGGGAGGCCGAGGTGGGCAGATCATGAGGTTAGGAGATCGAGACCATCCTGGCTAACACAGTGAAACCCCGTCTCTGCTAAAAATATTTAAAAAATTAGCCAGGCGTGATGGCGGACACCTATAGTCCCAGCTACTCATGAGGCTGAGGCAGGAGAATGGCATGAACCCGGGAGGTGGACCTTACAGTGAGCCGAGATCACCCACCACCCTCCAGCCTGGGCGACAGAGCGATACTCCCTCTCAAAAAAAAAAAAAATTAACCAGAAATTTTAATTTTTATTAATTTATGTATTAATTAATTTTTATTATTTTTTATTTTTTATTTAATTACTTATTTATTTTCTCTATTATCAAAAAAAGGCTAAAACAGCTGCCAAGATGATGTAAAAGTGAAATAAATTAGTTAAGCAACTTGGGAATATACCAAATATTACTTTAAAAAACTTTTAACAGGAGTCAAAAATTAATGATTCATTCAAAATCTGATATAGCCTAAAACACATTTTACTTTGCATGATCTATGAACACAATATTCACTAGATAAAATATGAGACATCACTTTACTGAAATTTTAAAAAGTTAGGATTAAATTTTCTTTCCATTTAGAATTTTTAAATTAATAAATAGATGCATATATTTTCAGTGTACGTGTGATGATTTGTTCCATCTATATAATCTAATGAGGGTAACAGAGATACACATTACGTTAAATATGTATGTTTTATTTAAACTAGAAATATTCAAGTTATTCTCTCCTGGCTATTTTTAAATGTTAAACAGAATGTTAAATATAGTCACCCATAAATTTTCTTCCAATCCTTTATTAAAATCACCCGTAAGTCACTCAGAAGAATCTGAGCATTATTTTAATTACTTGGCTTTCTTTTCCTAATCTATATTTAAAATAATTCTATAATATGATATGGAGACATTCTACTGTCATTTAAATTCACCGTTTTTGAGGTGTTTTATACTAATCTTTGTCATCTTGACACTCTTATTCAACTCTGTTTTCTTACTTCTTTCCCCTCTTCACCTTTGTATTTGTGGAGCTGTTCTTTCAGGTTTCTTTCTACTTCTTTCCTTCCCTAATGGCAAACCTAACAATCATTTACTCCCATGACCTTTTAGGAATCCTGGTCCCATGCATATATTTCCCGTGTTGTTACACTTCTTTTCTATTATTACCTGGAGAACTTCCATTCCTTTATAGGATCCTTGTCATTGTTATAAAGACAGGGAGATGGCAAGTGAATAAAGCATGGGAAAAATATTTTCCAAATAAAACAATTTACCATTGTAAAACTAGAGATCATTAACAGATAAGAGTGAGTTGGTGAACAGGACTCGACTCTGATTATTCTATGTTGGCTTTTAACCACATCTTCATTTACCTTATCAACATTTTGGTCTTCAAAAAAAGGTTCCATATTTTGTTTTTTCAATGCCACATGCAGCATCTACTACAGTAAAAACAAAGTCAAGAGTAGATGAAATGCGTGTAATTAAGAATCAATAAATAAGAACCGGGTGTGGGGGCTCACAACTTTAATCCCAGCACTTTTGCGGGCCCATGCAGGCAGATCATACAAGAGGTCAGGTGTTCAAGACCAGCCTGGCCAACATGGTGAAATTCCATCTCTACCAAAAATACAAAAATAGCCAGGTGTGGTGGTGCACACCTGTAATACCAGCTACTCAGGAGGCTGAGGCAGGAGAATCACTTGAACCCAGGAGGTGGAATTTGCAGTGAGCCAAGATCATGCCACTGCACTCCAGCCAGGGCAACAGTGAGTAACACTCTGTCTACAAAAAAATAAGAAAGAAAAAGAAAAAAAAAAAGAATCAGTAGATAATACAATAGTCAGGTTTCAAATAGCTTACACTTTTCTGCAGATTGTTGAGAAATAGTCCTTCTGTTCGTAAAGTATGGTTCTGAAATAGTCTAGAAGAAAGACACAATAGGTTTAAGAACAACATGCAGCAAGTTAAAATAATGATAATTGCCACCATTACTACATGATCTAACACAAAAAGGATAGACTTTGAAGTCACTCATAAGTAGATTCAAACCTCAAGTCTGCCATTTACGTATCTACAGATTCACATGAGATGATGATTATGATTGGTGATACAGATATTCTCAAAATGTTACTCCTTTCAACCCCGGTTGATTATTATACAAATACTATGATATCCATTAGTTTCTTTTATTAACCACAACAAACTGGGACAAAAATTTACTCATACGTAATTTAGAGTATTACTGAACAAAACTAATAAAAAGTCAATTAATCACTTTAGTTTTCAAAATATTTATGCATGATATATATTTGTGTGAATTACTTCCTGTGGGAAAAAAATGTGAGAATGTATTTTTTAGTAGTAATATATTTAAATGGGCTAGCATCGGAATCAGTGTAAGTTGCTTCTATTCTGTGTGTCAAAAGCTAAAAACAAATTATTGTATAACTTCAGCTCCTTCCAAAAAAGACAGAATAAAGCAACCATCCACTTTATGGAGCAATGATTCACGAATGAAAGCCACACATAGCTACTAAATAGAAAGGTGTAACTAAGTATCCTGACAACAGAAACAGAGGTGAAATGAAAGAATAGACACTAAAGACATGTGGTCTGCAAGGAAAAAGTTAGACTGAGGTAAATCATTTTTAAAGAAAGGGGAAGGAGGGAGAAACAAACAAAAAAAGAGACATGACCAGTCAATCAAATATGAGCTTAAAAGAAAAGCTTGTGTTCATAATATATGCCTAATAATGCTGGTTAGCATTTACTCGACAATTTGTTTTGTGTAAATACTTATGTAATAAAAAGTTTAGTTTGTTTACTATAAAATAACACATCCCAAGAGTTAACCATGATCATTCACCTGAAAGCTGAAACATTCTTACTACAAAGAGAGAGAGAGAGAGAGAGAGAGAGACAGAGAGAGGAAAAAAAAAAACAATAGAATTCCAGGAACTTAACACCTGGAGAAAGAATTTTTATTCAGAATTCAAAAGAGTAATGTATGTCCTGAAAAATATGTATTTAATAGAACATGGTTGGGGCTTTGAAAATTTAATCTAAAATCCCAATCTAAGCTTCCAGTTGGAAGATATTAGAAAACACGCTGTATCCACCTTTCCTATTTCCTTTCCATCTCTTCCAATTTTCATTTTATTCTATGACATATTTTCTCAGCGTAACTCACCTCAACTTATAGATTCTCAACATTAGAAGAAAAGATAAATTCAGAACATTCAAGACATTTAATAGACTTAATTATTAGATATCTTATGCATATTATGTTACCTGTAACATTCCATTAAAAAAAGGCCATTTCCCTGTTTGCTGATTCACATTAAAAACTAATAAAATGTTTCTTACATGCAAGACCTTATTCTGGGTACTCAAGATACATACAAATAGTTTTTCTAGCTTCAAGTGGCTCATATGAATGCAGGAGCTTTACAATTATTTTTTCAATAACTAAGCACAAAAGCCTCTGAAATTTGAAATTTAGAATGAGATACAAAGACCCCGAGCGGATTTTTTTTTAATTACAATGCAAAAATCTTGTGAAGTTAAAGTCTGACCACAGAGATATGAAGAGTCTCTGCTTATCAAACAGGTTGTTATTTTAAACAAAATGCATATTCTTCGATTAGATAAAGAGTTTACAGTATACTCTTAATAAAAAAGACTTGGAAAACACAGGGTAAACCCTCTCTAATACAGGTGTGAGAACAGAATTTAAATTTCTAATATTCCACAACTTTTTAAAATTAGAGATATGCTCTTGCTATATTGCCAAGCTTGGTCTTAAACTCCTGGGATCAAGAAATTCTCCTGGCTTGATCTCTTGAATAGGTGGGACTACAGGCACATGATACCATGTCTAGTTAAATTTCCACAATTTCTAATATTATTTTAGTCTAATTATATAGAACCAAGAATAAAAATAAAGAAATAGCTCTCTGCAAAAATACAGTATGATGTTAAAATAGGTGTACAAGAAATAAAAAGAAACTATATGCTGTGTGTAAAGGGTGATTCCATGATTCCCATAATAAGTCATCTGATGTAACAAACATTCATTTAAACAGAGGTATTATTAGTCATACTCATATGATATACAACTCAAAGTAAAAACACTTACTCAGATAAGCCTAGACCAAAATTTGTATCTCCTCTCTTTTGGGAAAGCGTTCCCAAACAACATCTTTCTGTCACTATGTATTTTTTTTTTCAGATCACACCTCTCAACATATTTATCAACTATTTCTTATTTGCAAAGTGAAAAAAAAATTAAAATTAACCCCTCCTATTTCTTTAAAATGGTTATCTCTAATAAAAGTTTTAATACTAACATAAAACAATGATAGGTAGACAATCGCTAAGTTTTAGAAGAAAATAATACAAAAAATGAGATTCAGAATGAGAAAATTAATTTCACGAGACAGTACTCTACTTCAGATTCCAAAGCAAACTTATCCTTTGTCACAGGCTGTGCAACACTATCCAGTATGTAGCGACACCTACAGAGCAAAAAGATATGAGACAAAATTGAGCACGTTCGTTTCTTAAAAGAAAACAAAAACCATCAGTCTATACATGCATGTCCCCTCCACAAAAAAATGGTAAAACAAAGTCTGAGGAAGGTCAGTTATCCTTATATTAAATAATATTTCTTGGTATAATTAAGATATGGCTTCTGTATTAGAAAACATTTCAGTTACCTATTTCTGCCTCCACCTCTCCCACCCTATGAAATATCCAATGCAGACTCACCCTTAAACCCATAACAAATAGTGACAGGCATTACAGTGGCACGGCCAGACAATAATTTGTCTTTATAAATTATCTACCCTAAAGACTAAACTGAAAATCCAATTGATATCTGAAACAACTTTTGTTACTCAACTGCAGTAAACCCGATAACCTAAAACAAGGTAGAAAAGGCACTGTGTCTTCTGCATTATCTATTTCTGATTCAAAGACTAATCTGTGTCACAGGAAAATGGGAGTCTTGGATCTTCAGCATGTAAGCTACTTAGATTGCCCATTGATTCTCTTTACTCTAGAACTCTACAGGGAGCCCCCTGAAACACTGCAAGTGTTTGAAAGCTGAATGTAAAAAAGTCAAAGTACAAATGTACTCTGGGAATATTCCTCACAGAAGATTAAAACATTAAAAATTATAAAATCCAATTATTGTCATTATATAGATCCTGCTTTATTCAGGTCCACAAAAACCAGCAAGCTTAAGAATCTTCATAAACACTCAGATACTCAAGAGAGAGACTGCTGGAAAAGTCTCCCTCCTGAGTACATACAGCTTCATTTCATTCATCACTATCTAAATACCTTCCTATGGGTTCCCCCTTCTGGATCCCTCTTCTGCAGGGATCAATGGCAATCTCCAATCTACATCTTCAAATTTGTCTGTCCCCTGCAAATTCCATTCTTATCCACTTTCATTGGGTTCAACTGCTCATTCCATTCTCATCCTTTTCCACTGTGTTCACTAGAGCCACTCCCTCTTTCTAAAACTAAAATCACTCAATGACAGAATAATGTAAAAGAAGACTGGGTTTTGAACTAAGAAACCTGAGTGCAATTCTTATTTCTCTGATTTACTGTATCCAAATAATTTTCTCTCTTTGAGTTTCAGGTTCTCCACCTGAACAACCACTTGATCAGGATGTTAAGCAAGGATTCAAGTACTAGAGGATATTTTGTTTAGTCTCTAGGATTTCTTAACATTCTGAAATTCTATGCGCCTCCGATTTTGTCTATAGGAAAATGGGGAATATTTAGCTGCCTTAAATGAAAACTATAATAGAAGATCATAAACCCTAAGAAAAGCAGAGGAGAAAGTAAAAAGAAATCAAGAAAATATTATTAAAATGTCACAGAAGGAAAAAAAAAATCCAGAAAATAAGAAAAAGCTTCAGAGAACCAGGCAGGGTACTTACTGAAAGAGAAAACCTAACTGGGTAGGTAGTAAGTAGAGAAATGAATTAGAAATATCCTTTTAATATATGCTAAATATAGTTAACATAACATGGACTATATTTAGATATTCTCCAAGCACAGTAAGATAATATTTTTCTAGGACTGGCCTGGTCTTGCTTATGAAAAACTTAGGGTCCTGTGGCCACAGATAACTGATAACTGCCTTTAAAACTTTGATGATTAAAAAAAAAAAGTAATATGGTTACCACTGCCATTTCAAAATATTTGGACAAACTTTTGGAGTAGCCAGGCTTCTAAATAACACTCTAAAGACAGTTAATATATAACCAAATGCGACTTTCTGAATTGATCCGATGTAAATCAGTACCGTGATCCCATTGCTGCATAGGCCTCTATCCATCTATGCTTAGGGGCAAATGAAGTGATTTGAGAGCCAGGCAGGATGATGGTCTAATCCTGGGTTGGCTACCTGTTAACTGTGGAATCATGAGCCAATATTTCAACCTCTTTAAAGCAGAGTTGTCTATTATTAGTAAAAAAGGAATAATAGCACAAATAGTTTGTAAAGCTGTGTGAAGATGACATGACATGATAAATGTTAAGCATGTAATATGGTGTCTAGCACAGAGTAGAACACTAAACAGATACTAGTTTCTATTCTCTCTATTCACTTAGTTAACATATCACTTTAAAAAATCTGTGAAATCATACCTGTCAAAACACTCTTCAACAGGAGGAAGCACTATGAAAGAAAAAGTAAAATGCATTTTAAATCAACAATAGAAAACTACAGAGTACTAAAAACATAAAAGAACACAGTGTCTTGTTCCTATAATTCCAGCTACTCAGAAGGCTGAGGCAGAAGTATAACTTGAGAAGCCCAAGAGTTTGAGACCAGCCTGGGCAAAATAGCAAGACTCTATCCTTATAAAAATAATAATAATAATCAACAAGGCCTGGTGTTGTGGGTCACACCTGTAATCCTAGCAGTTTGGGAGGCCTAGGCAGGGGAATCACTTGAGGTCAAAAGTTTGAGACCAGCCTGGACAACATTGTGAAACTCCATCTCTACTAAAAATACAAACATTAGCCAGGTGTGGTGGTGCGCACCTGTAATCCCAGCTAGTTGGGAGGCTGAGGCAGGAGAATCACTTGAACCCAAGAGGTGGAAGCTGCAGTGACCCAAGATCGCACCACTGCACTCCAGCCTGGGCTGCAGACTAGTAAGACTGTGTTTAAAAAAGAAAAAAAACAAAAAACAAATGAAGAATCAGTAAATACTGCAATAGGCAGGCTTCAAATAGCTTACCATCTTCTATCGATCATAGAGAAATAATCCTTCTCTCTGGGATGTATAGTTTTGAAATAGTCTAGAAGAAAAACACAATAGGTTTAAGAGTAACATGGGGCAAGTTAAAATAATGATAATACCCACCATTACTACATGATTTAACAGGAAAAGTATGGACGTTGAAGTCACTCATATGTAGATTCAAACCTCAAGTCTGCCATTTACTTATCTACAGATTCACATGGCATGATGGTTATGATTGGTGAGACAGATATTTTCAAAATGTTACTCCTTTCAACCCCAGTTGATTATTATACAAATACTATGATATCCATTAGTTTCTTTTATTAGCCACAACAAACTAGGACAAAAATGTACCCTATGTAATTTAGAGTATTAGCGAATAAAACTAATAATAAAAAAGTAAATCACATTATTTTTCAAAATAGCTATGAATGGTGTATATTTGTGCAAATTTCATTTTGTGGGAAAAAATGTGAGAATGTAGTTTTTAGTAGTACTATATTTAAATGGGTTGGCATCAGAAACAGTACAAGTTGCTTCTATTCAGTGTGTCAAAAGCTAAAAACAAATTATAGTATAACTTAAGCTCCTTCCAAAAAAGACAGAACAAAGCAACCATCCACCTTACGGAGCAATGATTCATGAATGAAGGCCACACATAGCTACTAAATAGAAAGCTGTAACTAAGTATCCTGACAATAGAAACAGAAGTGAAATGAAAGAATAGACACTAAAGACATGTGGGCTGCAAGGAGAAAGTTAGACTGAGGTAAATCATTTTTAAAGAAAGGGGAAGGAGGGAGAAACAAACAAAAAAAGAGACATGACCAGTCAATCAAATATGAGCTTAAAAGAAGACCTTGTGTTCATAATATATGCTTAATAATACTGGTTAGCATTTACTCGACAATTTGTTTTGTGTAAATACTTATGTAAGAAAGAGTTTCATTTGTTTACTATAAAATAACACATCCCAAGAGTTAACCATGATGATTGATCTGAAAGTTGAAACATTCTTACTACAGAGAGAGAGAGGGAAAAAAAATTTCCAGCAACTTAACAGCTGGAGAAATAATTTTTATTCAGAATTTGAAAGAGTAATGTATGTCCTGAAAAACAGGTATTTAATAGAACATGATTGGGTCTTTAAAAATTTAAGAAAATTTAATCTAAAATCCTAATCTAAGCTTCCAGTTGGAAGATATTAGAAAACAGGCTGTATCCACATTTCCTATTTCCTTTTCATCTTTTCTAAATTTTATTTTCTTCTATATGACATATTTTCTCAACATGAGTCACCTCAACTTATACATTCTCAACATTAGAAGAAGAGATAAATTCAAAACACTCAAGAAATTTAATAGATTTAATTATTAAATATGTCATGCATATTATGTTACCTGTAAGATTCTATTATAAAAAAGCCCATTTGCCTGTTTGTTGATTCACATTAAAAACTATTAAAATGTTTCTTACATGCAAGATCTTATTCTGTGTATTCCAGGATACATACAAATAGGTTTTCTAGTTTCAAGTTGCTGGTAGTAATGCAGGAGCTTTACAATTATTTTTTCAATAACTAAGCACAAAAGCCTCTGAAATTTGAAATTTAGAATGAGATACAAAGACCCTGAGTGGATTCTTTTTAATTACAATTCAAAAGCCTTGTGAAATTAAAGTCTGACCATAGGAATATGAAGAGTCTCTGTTTATCAGAGAGGTTATTTTAAACAAAATGCATATTTTTCAATTAAATAAAGAGTTTAAAGTATACTCTAAATAAAAAAGCCTTGGAAAACACTGTGTAAACCCTCTCTAATACAGGTGTGAGAACAGAATTTACATTTCTAAACTTCCACAACTTTTTAAAATTAGAGATAAGCTCTTGTTATATTGCCAAGCTTGGTCTTAAACTTCTGGGCTCAAGAAATTCTCCTGGCTTGATCTCTTGAATAGGTGGGACTACATGGACATGATACCATGTCTAGTTACATTTCCACAATTTCTAATATGATTTTAGTCTAATTATAGAGCCACAAATAAAAATAAGGAAATAGCTCTCTGCAAAAATAGTGTATGATATCAAAACATGTGTACAAGAAATAAAAAGAAACCACATGCTATGTGTAACAGAGTGATTCCATGATTTCTATGATAAGTCATCTGATGTATTAAAGATTCATTTAAACAGAGGTATTATTAGTCATACTCATATGATATACAACTCAAAGTAAAAACACTCAAATAAGCCTAGACCAAAATTTGTATCTCGTCTCTTGTGGGAAAGCATTCCCAAACATCATTTTTCTGTCACTGTGTATTTTCCAGCAATTTTTTTTTCAGATCACACCTCTCAAAGAATTTATCAACTATTTATTACTTGCCAAAGTAAAAAAAAAAATAAAATTAACCCCTCCCGTTTCTTTAAAATGGTTATCTCTAATAAAAGTTTTAATACTAACATAAAACAATGATAGGTAGACAACTGTTAAGTTTTAGAAGAAAATAATATAAAAACTGAGATTCAGAGTGAGAACATTAATTTCACAAGAGAGTACTCTACCGCAGATTCCAAAGCAAACTCATCCTCTGTCACAGGCTGTGCAACAGTATCCGGTCTGTAGAGACTCCTACAGAGCAAAAAGATACAACAAAAATGAGCACGTTCATTTTTTCAAAGAAAACAAAAACCGTCAGTCTATACATGCGTGTCGCCTCCAAAAAAAATGGTAAAACAAAGTCTGAGGAAACTCAGTTATCTGCATATTAAATAATATTTCTTGGTATAATTAAGATATGGCTTCCATTTTAGAAAACATTTCAGTTACCTATTTCTGCCTCCACCTCTCCCAGCCTATGAAATATCCAATGCAGACTCACCCTTAAACCCATAACAAATAGTGACAGGCATTATAACGGCACGGCCAGACAATAATTTGTCCTTATAAATTATCTACCCTAAAGGCTAAACTGAAAATCCAGTTGATATCTGACACAACTTTTGTTACTGAACTGCAGTAAACCTGATAACCTAAAACAAGGTAGAAAAGGCACTGTCTCTTCTGCATTATTTATTTCTGATTCAAAGACTAATCTGTGTCACTGGAAAATGGGAGTCTTGGATCTTCAGCATGTAAGGTACTTAAAGAGGGCCCATTGATTCTCTTCACCCTAGAACACTACAGGGAGCCCCCTGAAACACTGAAAATGTTTGAAAGCTGAGTGTACAAAAGTCAAAGTACAAATGTATATGTTTTTAGGTTGTTAGTGGGAATATTCTTCACAGAAGTTTAAAATATTAAAAATTTTAAAATCCAATTATTGTCATTATATAGATCCTGCCTTATTCAGATCCACAAAAACCAGCAAGCTTAAGAACCTTCATAGACACTCAGATACGCAAGAGAGAGACTGCTGGAAAAGTCTCCCTCCTAAGTACTTATAGCTCCATTTCATTCATCACTATCTAAATATCTTCCTTCCTATGGGCTCCCACTTCTGGATCCCTCTTCTGCAGGGATCCGTGGCAATCTCCAATCTACATCTTCAGCCTAGGAAAGCCCAGATTCCTCAAAAGACGGGCTAACATAATTGAGAGTAGGAGCTCTCTATTCCTCTGCTTCTGGAAAGTAAGTTAGTCTCAGTCATCCACCCCAAGCATACGCATGTTACCAACTACCCAAATGAAGCTTCACTGCTGGTTTGCTGGCCAATCCTACATTTGCCCTACCCTACATGTACATGAGAGAATTGAGAAAAGAGTCAGAAAAAAGAGACATCCACTCTGGGTCACAGATCTATGTACTTAAGCAATCTCCAGCTCCCTAGTCCTTGAGGGATTCTAAGGCCTCTGTAAGCTGGGATGGAAGAAGATGATACCACATTCCTATCTGCTCCGGAGACTATTTCCAGTGGCTCAAATTCTTTTAACATTTTTCAATAAAACCTTGAAGTTTGTCAGTTCCTCCAGTTAAACAAACAAAAAGGCAGCAACCACTTCAGAATTCCTTGAATGCCGTATTCTAATATCCCGACATCCTGTGTTTTCAATTCCCTTATCTTTATCAAACTTGTAATAAAGCCAAACATTCGGATTTTTTCCTAAAACCCTCATTTCCATCCAACTAAGGGTTTGTTTCTCTTCAAATTTGGCTGTCCCCTGCAAATTCCATTCTTATCCACTTTCATTGGGTTCAACAGCTCATTCCATTCTCATCCTTTTCCACTGTGTTCACTAGAGCCACTCCCTCTTTCTAAAACTAAAATCGCTCAATGACAGAATGTAAAAGAAGACTGGGTTTTGAACAAAGAAAGCTGAGTGCAATTCTCATTTCTCTGATTTACTGTATCCAAATAATTTTTTCTCTTTGAGTTTCAGGTTCTCCACCTGAACAACCACTTGATCAGGATGTTAAGCAAGGATTCAAGTACTAGAGGATATTTTGTTTAGTCTCTAGGATTTCTTAACATTCTGAAATTCTATGCACCTCTGATTTTGTCTATAGAAAAATGGGGAATATTTAGCTGCCGTTCACGAAAACTATAATAGAAGATCATAAGAAAAGCAGAAGAGAAGTAAAAAGAAATCAAGAAAGTATTAAAATGTCATAGAAGGAAAATAAAAGAATCCAGAAAATAAGAAAAAGCTTCAGCGAACTAGGCAGGGTACTCACTTAAAGAGAAATCCTAACTGGGTAGGCAGTAAGTAGAGAAATGAATTAGAAATATCCTTTTAATATATGTTAAATATAGTTAACATAACATGGTCTATCTTTAGATAATCTCCATGCACAGTAAGATAATATTTTTTCTAGGACTGACCTGGTCTTGCTTATAAAAATCTTAGGGTCCTGTGGCCACAGGTAACTGATGCCTGCCTTTAAAATTTTGATGGTTAAAAAAAAAATGTAATATGGTTACCACTGCCATTTCCAAAATATTTGGACAAACTTTTAGAGTATCCAGGCTTCTAAGGAACACTCTAAAGAGAGTTAATATATAACAAAATGTGACTTTCTGAATTGATCTGAGTTAAACTAGTATCGTGATCACACTGCTGCATAGGTCTGTATCCATCTATGCTTAGGGGCAAATGAAGTGGTTAGAGAGCCAGGCAGGATGATGGCCAAATCATGAGTTGGCTACCTGTTAACTGTGGAATCATGAGCCAATATTTCAACCTCTTTAAAGCAGAGTTGTCTAATTAGCAAAAAAGCAATAATAGCACAAATAGTTTGTAAAGCTGTGTGGAGACGACATGACATGATAAATATTAAGCATGTAATATGGTGTCTAGCACAGAGGAGAACACCAAACGGATACTAGTTTCTATTCTCTCTATTCACTAAGTTAACATATCACTTTAAAAAATCTGTGAAATCATACCTGTTTAAACACTGTTCAACAGCAGGAAGCACTATTAAACAAAATGTAAAATGCATTTTAAATCAATAGGAACTTATAAAATATTAAAAACATAAAAGAGCACAGTGACTTGTTCCTATAATCTCAGCTACTCAAAAGGTTCAGGCAGAAGTATCACTTGAGAAGTCCAGGCATTTCAGACCACCTTGGGCAACACAGAAACATTCTATCTTTATTTTAAAAAGCTAAAAAAATTTAAAAAAATCATGTAGGCAGGGCTCGGTGGGTCATGCCTGTAATCCCAGCACTTTGTGAGGCCGAGGTGGGTGGATCACTTGAGGTCAGGAGTTTGAGACCAACCTGGCCAACATGGTGAAAGCCCATCTCTAGTAAAAATACAAAAATTACCAGGTTGGTGGTGCACACCTGTAAACTCAGCTACTCAGGAGACTGAGACAGGAGAATCACTTGAACCCAGAAGGTGAAAGTTGAAGTGAGCCAGGATTGCGCATGTCTTTCATACAAGACATCAGAAGGGTTTAAACCATTATACTACAAATATTCATCATGCTCTTTGACTTGCCTGACAATTGAGCAGGTGCACAATGACAATAACACTTTAGATGAATGTACACTTCAAAGCTCCTCAGTGGAAGTGTCCCGAATTGGTCAGCTTGGATATCTGTTTGGTGAATCCTATTATATTGTATTCATTATTTTTCATACCCATGTGGTATAATAATGAGCCTACACTTTTGTATTTTCTGGTTTAACCTTCAGAAAGTTTTGTCAGTCACTCATGGGAACAAGGTATAATATACAAACCTAATCAAAATGTATAAAAAATTATCAAATTTGATATACTTACACGCAATAAAGTGGCTACAAGCATTAGATATGAATAAGGTTGTTCATTTGGAAATCACTCCAATATTCATTAAAAATAAATATTTTAGGAGTCAATTAAAGAATTTAACATTATTTTTGTTTCTAAAATAAGTCTGGTTTGAAGGATCATGTTATTCTCTAAAGTATTTTCATTAAATTGCTATTTTGTCCAAAAGTTAGCTCTCTGAACAACAAAGCCAGTGTATGCATATTTACATTTATCTCATTTGACTAACTGATAACAACAAAACATATATCTCTGATGCCCAATAATTACAAAGAGGGGTAACAGGTGACTGTGGTTTATCACAATTCTGGCACTCTATCCTCTTTCCAGTAGTTCCTGGAACAGCCAAAATCAAATCTTCCTTTATGCAAACATTCTAAATGCATCTGACGTGAGTTCCCTCAGGTTTCCTCAGTACAAACCCTAAAATTAAATAACTTCTTTTCCCTTCTTCCTGCCTCACAATCCCTCTTCCCTGAGGAAAATGATTACTACATCAGCGGTCTCGTTACTTCTCCTTCTATAGTGTTTATGGCTTATTACGATCACTTCCTCCCTCTGGTTTTAGCAATGTGATCTGGCGCCTATAATTTCTAGTACTTCATCTTGTTCTCCTTCCCCTCTTGATGGAAACATGCTGTAGAATTAAAGCACAATTATGCTGTCCCCTCAGCCTGTTATGTCTTGAACTGTTCTCCAGTGGTTCTTCTTCCCAATTTCAATGTAGGGAAATCTATAATCTTACTACTCAGATCATGGCCAAATATTCGGGGAAGGGAAGTTCTCCTCTATCTTGAGAAAACATGACATTAAATGTGTATTGCAAAATTACCTGTCCCAGATTTTTGTTCATCTTTTATTTCTGTGGCTATGTTCAAAACAGAATATTTCTTGTCACTTGTATCCTGAATGGGATTTCAAACAAAATAATCAATACATACAGTATATTTCATAGACTATACAGTTAATAATTCAAAATATGAATGAAGAGTGTAATACCTTCAAGGCCGGTTGTTTCTGAGAAGACACTGAAAACCAAAAGGGATACATAATCACTCGTATGTAAATATGATAAAGTTATCCATACTTTCATGCAGTGTTAGCATCAAGCTGTATCCTCCTGCCTGAATTAGCGTAGGCTTTGATGTTTTCTACTTTGTGTATTGGGACAGGAACATGACAGAATTACACTGTAGAAAACAGAAGTATAGTCTTCACGGAACAAACACTTCCAATTTCATATGTGATATTATTATTCATATGTCTATTACTACAATAAAACAGTGTTTATATCAATGTGGATATGCCAAGTGATGAGGACAAATGTGGTCTAAAATCAGAGCAGCAACTCATACGCTTGGGAATCAATGTCAAAGCAGGTGATTAATGCTCCTGCATGTTTTTCATGTAAGACATCAGAGGGATTTATACCATTATGCTACAAATATTTATCACGCTCTTAAACTTGACTGACAATTGAGCAGGTACACAATGACAATGGCACTTTAGCTGAATGTACACTTCTCAAGTGTTCTGTGGAAGTGTCCCTAATTGATCACCTTAAATATATGTTTGGTGAATCCTAGCATATAATATTCCTTATTTCTCACACCGCTGTGGTGTCATACTGTGCCTGCATTTCTTGTATCCTCTAGTTTAGCCTTCAGAAAGTTTCTTCATCCACTCATGGCAAGAAGGTATAATATATAAACCTCATCAAAAAGTATAATAAACCATCAAATTTGGCATACTGATACAAAATAAAGTTACTAAAAACATTAGATATGAATAAGCTTTTCCATTTGGAAATTGCTCTGATATTCATTGAAAATAACCACTTTAGGAGTCAATTAATGAATTCAACATTATTTTGTTTCTAAAATAGTCTGGTTTGAAGGATCGTGTTATTCTCTAAAGTATTTTCATTAAATTGCTATTTTATCCAAAAGTTAGTTCCTTGAAAAACAAAGCCAATGTATGCATATTCATGATTATCCTATTTGAATAGCTAATACCAACAAAACATATATCTCTGACGCCCAATAGTAACAAAGAGGGGTAATGAGTCACTGTGGGTCATCACAATTCTAACACTCTATCCTGTTTCCAGTAGTTCCTGGAGCAGCCAAAATTTAATCTTCTTTTATGCAAATATTCCAAATGCATCTGAAGTGAGTCCCATCAGGTTTCTGCAGCAGAAACCCCAAAATTACATAAATAACATCTTCTTTTCCCTCCTTCTTGCCTCTCAATCCTTCTTCCTTGAGTAAAATAATTACCACATCAGACGTCTCCTTAGTTCTGTTTCTACATTGTTTATGGGTTATTCCAATCACTTCTTCCATGTGGTTTTAACAATATGATCTGACGCCTATAATTTTTATTACTTAATCTCGTTCTCCTTCCCTTTACGATGGAAACATGCTGTAGAATTAAAGCAAGAATATGCTGTCCCTTAGCCTGTTATATCTTGCACTGCTCTCCAATCGTTCTTGCCAATTTCACTGTGGGGAAGAATATAATCTTACTACTCAGATCATGGCCAAGGACCAGCAGCATCAGCGTCACCCTTCTACCCTAAGTGAAATGACATTAAATGTGTATTGCAAAATTACCTGTCCCAGAGTTTTGTCCATCCTTTATTTCTGTGGCTATATTCGAAACAGAATCTTTCTTGTCACTTGTAGCCTGAATGGGATTTGAAACAAAATAATCAATACATAAAGTATATTTCACAGACTATATAGTTAATAGTTCACAGCAGAAATGAATGTGTAATTACCTTCAAGGCTGCTTGTTTCTGAGAAGACACTGAAAAGCAAAAGGGATACATAATCAGTCATATGTAAATATGATAAAATTATCCATACATTCATGCACTGTTACCATCAAGCTGTATCCTCCTGCCTCTATTAGTTTAGGTTTTTATGTTTTATACTTTGTGTATTGGGACTGGAATATGACAGAAACACACTGAAGAAAACACCAATACAGGCTTCATGAAATATACACTTACAATTTCAAACGCGATATGATTTGTCATATGTCTAAAACTAAAATGAAACAGTGTCAGTATCAATGTGGATATGCGGAGGGATAAAAACAAATGTGGTCTAAAAACAGAGGAGCAACTCATGCACCTGGGAATCAATGTCAAAGCAGGTGGTACGTGCTCTCACATGTCTTTAGTGCAAGAGATGAGAAGTAAATACACTATTATACTACAACCATTCATCATGCTCTTTAACTTGCCCAATAACTGAGAAGGTACACAATTACGATGACGCTTCAGCTGAATGTACACTTCACATCTCCTCAGTGGAACTGTCCTAAATTGATCAGCCTGGATATATGTTTGGTGAATCCTAGTAGAGAGTATTGATTATTTCTCAGACTCATGTGGTGTAATTATTGCCCAAGTTTCTTGTGTTCTCTAGTTCAGCCTTCTGAAAGTTTTTTCATCCACTCACGGCAATAAGGTATAATATGTAAACCTCAATAAAAAGTATCATCACTTGTCAATATTGACGTATTTCTACAAAATAAAACTGCTACAAGCATTAGATATTAATAAGCTTTCACATTTGGGAATGACTCCAATATTCATTGAAGATAAACATTTTATGAATCAATTAATGAATTCAACATTATTCTTGTTTCTAAAATAGTCTGGTTTGAAGTATCATGTTATTCTCTAAGAAATTTTCATTAAATTGCTATTGCATCCAAAAGTTAGCTCCTTGGAAAACAAAGCCAATGTATGCACATTCATGCTTATTTCATTTGAATGACTAATATCAACAAAATCTATGTCTCTGATTCCCAATAGTAACAAAGAGAAGTAATGAGTCATTGTGGTTTATCTGAATTCTAGTAACTCTTTCCTTCTTCCAGTAGTTTCTGGAGCAGCCAAAATCAAATCATCTTTTATGCAAATATTCTAAATGCATCTGAAGTGAGTTCAGTTATACTTAGAGTCATAATTTAAAAAATTATTTTCTTTGTACTCATGAAGGCTCCTAATATTCCTACATTTCCCGTATTCAGCAGTTCAGCTCTTTTGCCATCTTTTTCCACTTTTGCAAAAACATACATGTCAAAGAAATCATGCATAATCAGATTCCCATGTAAATAAGGTAAACAAAATCTCTAAATCACAAGACTTCTTTTCTTATTAATAACCAACCAAATATATACATATACATATGTACTATATCTATATATATATATCTATATATAGATATGTCATGATTGCCAAGAATATTGGTAGTTTTTTTTAGTACTCAAGATATACATTCTTTTACTACTTTGTTTCTAAAGCTAGTTTGAAATAATATACCATAGGGGTCTCTCAGGTATGAAATAACTACTTCAGCAAGCACAGCTTTCCTAAAGAAAAAACTTTTTCTAGATTAAGCTGCATCCCAATATGCTAACTGACGTGAACGAAGCACATATCATTGATGTGCAAAACTTCTAGGGAGTAGAAGTGAAACCCTGGGGGTCACCCTCATCCTTCTAACTTCCGCTTTCCATTAAGTGACTCCCCACAAGTCTCCTCATCAGAAGCCTCCAAATTACCTAGCTAGCTGCTTTCTTTGTTCTGCCCAGTTTGACATACACTCTTTTTCATTCATAAAGCTAATATCCATATTGGTGGACTTCATTCTTTGCCCTCCACTTTCATTTCTTCATTATTCTCACTACTACTGTATTCTGACATCTGTACAATCCCATTCTGACACATGTGAAGATAAGGTTTTGTTTTATTAAAATGTTAAATGTATCAGACACTTTACTAACGTGTACAAATTCCTTCTTCACAAAAGCAGCGCCATGGCCTTCTCTCTCCCATAGACACTTTCACAACTGTTCTTCACTCACATCGGTTTGAGTATCATCTCTCATTTTGGCTCTATGCTTTCACCTCATATCATGAGTTATTATCATAGGCTCAGCAGCCTATCTTACCTATTTTCCTCTCCAGGAGACAGTACGAGTAGTAAATTAGAATCTTCCAGGATATGAACACTTTCACGTACAAAAGACTTTGTGGAGCTATTTTATGTTTAACTACGCATAAAACCACTATGTCTATACCTTCTAGAGAAACGGGCTCTGAAATTCTATTGAACATAACCTATTTAAAAACTTCTTTAACTACAATGACACTGCCTCTCCTCAATGAACCAACATCTTCAGAAATAACTTGTGAAGACTTGAAAACATGTCAGTAATTGACATGAAAAATGAAGAATGATGTAATTTTTTGCAGGTATAAATAAGTAACGCTGAGATCCTTACTAGATCCAAGAAGAGCAGAGTGCTATGAGACAGGAAATAAATGTGGAACAGAAATATTTTCATTTGTAATGAAAATTATTCTATTTACAGTTTTCAGAAGAGAAAAAATACGCACAGATACACACACACACACACACACACACACATTCACACACAAAAACCAGAGCAATATGGCTTTACAGGGTGTTTTTTCTTCAAGGGCCTATTTGTCATTTGACATCCGGGAACACTCTGTGGGGATCAACAAAGGGGTTCTAAATTGTGACCTGAGTAGTTTAGAGTTTAACATTCATGAGGGGGAGCCAAGAGAACAAGTAACAGTTTGACCATCGGCCATTTCCTCTCCTTACTGTCATTCTCTGAAAAGCATACACTGGATTTTCTCAGGGTCATGACATGTCAAAAAGACATGCTTTAAGGGGAAACTGTTGCAATCAACACAGCCATGGGAGAGATACAGCTATGCTTGCTAGGATTTCTAATACTTCTGTTTCATTTCTAATATAGTACAAATCAATAAAACCAACCACGTAAGCATATCCATGCTGGTATGTCATCATATTTATGACCATATGGTATCAGCATGAAGAAAGCATAATTAAATATGCTGCAGTCATCACATGGCATATCATTAGATCATACAATAAATCAAATACCTCGCTGGGTCAATGTGGATAGATCTGAAATATATATCACTGATTTTGCAAAGACCAAGTTGCAGTCATTGTGTGCACTGTCTGAACTTTTCTACAAGGTTTTAATACACAAAATCAAGTTCTACAGGGTATCTATGAATGTGCACATATGTTGTAAGAGGTTTTTAATGTGTATTTGGGTGATTTTCTTTTTTAAAAAAAAAAATTTAATTCAAGTTCTTGGTTAGATGTCGTCAATAAGTTTTAGTAGTACAGAAAACCCTAAGACTATAACAGCTCAGAATGACTGTCTTAAAAGGCTATGTCTACCAAAGAGTCAGGAAAGCACGACTACTTACTTTCTTCATTTTTAAAACTCAGAGGTACCCCACTCACACTCCCAAATAAAACTGCACACAAGTTCTTTAGTTTAATTAGATCCCATTTTTCAATTTTGGCTTTTGTTGCCATTGCTTTTGGTGTTTTAGTCATGAAGTATTTGCCCATGCCTATGTCCTGAATGGTACTGCCTAGGTTTTCATCCAGGGTTTTTACACATTTAGAACTGACTTTTAAGTCTTTAATGCATCTTGAGTTAATTTTTGTATAAAGTGTAAGGAAGGGGTCCAGTTTCAGTTTCCTGCATAAGGCTAGCCAGTTTTCCCAACACCATTTATTAAATAGGGAATCCTTTCCCCATTGCTTTGTCAGGTTTGTCAAAGATCAGATGGTGTAGATGTATGGCATTATTTATGAGGCCTCTGTTCTGTTGCATTGGTCTATATATCTCTTTTGGTACCAGTACCATACTGTTTTCATTACTGTGGCCTAGTAGTATAGTTTGAAGTCAGGTAGCATGATGCCTCTAGCTTTGTTCTTTTTGCTTAGGATTGTCTTGGCTATGTGGGCTCTTTTTTTGGTTCCATATGAAATTTAAAGTAGTTTTTTCTAATTCTGTGAAGAAAGTCAATGGTAGCTTGATGGGTATAGCATTGAAACTACAAATTACTTTGGGCAGTATGGCCATTTTCAAGATATTGATTCTTCCTATCCATAAGCATGGAATGTTTTTCCATTTGTTTGTGTCCTCTTATTTCCTTGAGTGGTGGTTTGTAGTTCTCCTTAAAGAGGTCCTTCAAATCCCTTGTGAGTTGTATTCCTTGTTATTTTATTCTCTTTGTAGCAATTGTGTATGGGAGTTCACTCATGATTTAGTGCTCTATAACTGGTGTATAGGAAGGCTTGTGAATTTTGCACATTGACTTTGTATCCTGAGACTATGAGGAAGTTGCTTATCAGCTGAAGGAGATTTGGGGCTGAGACTATTTGGTTTTCTAAATATACAATCATGTCATCTGCAAACAGAGACAACTCGACTTCCTTTCTTCCTATTTGAATACCGTTTATTTCTTTCTCTTGCCGATTACCCTGGCCAGAACTTCCAATACTATGATCAGAGTGAACAGGCAACCTACAGAATGGGAGGAAATGTTTGCAATCTGTCCATCTGACAAAGGCCTAATATCTAGAATCTACAAGGAACTTTAACAAATTTACAAGAAAAGAACAATCTCATCAAAAAGTGGGCAAAGGATATGAACAGACTCTTCTCAAAAGAATACATTTATGCAGCCAGCAAACATCTGAAAAAAAGCTCATCATCACTGATCATTAGAGAAATGCAAATCAAAACCACAATGAGATACAATCTCACGTCATTTAGAATGGCAATTGTTAAAAGCTCAGGAAACAACAGATGCTGGAGCAGATGTGGAGAAATAGGAATGCTTTTACACTGTTGGTGGGAGTGTGAATTAGTTCAACCATTGCGGAAGGCAGTGTGGTGATTCCTCAAGGATCTAGAAACGGAAATACCATTTGAGCCAGTAATCCCACTACTGGGCATGTACTCGGTGTGTGTGTGTGTACATATATATATATATATATATATATGGTTCCATTGCATTCGATTCCATTACATTAGACTCCATTCCATTCAAGTTCATTCCATTCGAGTCCATTCGATTCCAGTGAATTGCATTCGAGTCCATTACATTTGATTCCATTCCGTTCCATTCCATTATATTCGATTCCATTCCATTCCAATCCATTCCATTCGATTTCATTCCATTCAATTGCATTCCATTAGATTGCATTCCATTCGATTGCATTCCATTCGAGTTCATTCCATTCGAGTTCCTTCCATTCGAGTTCATTCCATTCGAGTTCATTCCATTCCAGTCCAATCCATTCGAGTCCATTCCATTCCAGTCCTGTATTCGATTCCATTCCATTCCATTCCACTCGATTCCATTCCACTCGATTCCATTCCACTCGATTCCATTCCATTTGATTCTATTCCATTCCATTCCATTGCATTCAATTCTATTCCATTCCATTCGATTCCTTTCTTTTTGGGTTCATTCCATTCTAGTCCACTCCATTCCAGTCCACTCCAATCAAATCCATTTCATTCCATTCCAGAAGATTCCATTCCATTCAAGTCCATTCCAGTCGCTTCCAATCCATTCCATTCAAGAAGATTCCATTCCATTCAAGTCCATTCCAGTCGATTCCATTCCATTCCATTGCATTCCATTCGATTGTATTCCATTCCATTCCATTAGAATAGATTCCATTCCATTCTATTCCATTCCATTCGATTCATTTCCTTTCGAGTCCATTCCATTCGAGTCCATTCCAATCAAGTCCATTTCATTCCAGTCCATTCCATTCGATTCCCTTCCATTCGATTCTATTCCATTCGATTCTATTCCATTCGATTCTATTCCATTCAATTCTATTCCATTCGATTCCATCCCGTTTGATTGCATTCCATTCGATTGCATTCCATTCGAGTCCATCCAATTGAATCCATTCCATTTGCATCCATTCAATTCGAATCCATTCCATTCGTGTCCATTCCATTCCATTCCATTCCCTTTGAGTCCATTCCATTCGATTCCATTCCATTCCAGTCCATTCCATTCGGTTCCATTCCATTCCTTTCCATTCCATTCGATTCCATTCCATTCGATTCCATTCCATTCAATTCCATTCCATTCGAGACTGTACTATTACACTCCATTCGATTCCATTCCATTCGATTACATTCCATTCGATTCCATTCCATTGCATTCCATTCCATTCCATTAGTTTCCATTCCATTCAATTCCATTCCTTTCGTTTCAAATCCCTTCCATTCAATTCCATTCCATTCAATTCCATTTCATTCGATTCCATTCCTTTCGAGTCCATTCCATTCAAGTCCATATCATTCCAATCCATTCCCTTTGAGTCCATTCCATTCCAGTCCATTCCACTACAGTCCATTCCATCCAATTCCATTCCATTGGATTACATTCCATTCGAATGCATACCATTCGATTACATTCCATTCGAGTCCATTGAATTACACTCCATTCCATTCCATACCATTCCATTCCATTCGATTGCATTCCATTCAAGTTCATTTCATTGAATTCCATTCCATTCCGGTCGATTACATTCGAGTACAATCCACTCTATTCCATTCCATACCATTCCATTCCATTCGAGGCGATTCCTTTCAAGTCCATTGCATTGCAGTCCGTTCCATTTGATTCCATCCCATTTGATTCCATCCCATTCGAGTCCATTCCATTCAAGTCTGTTCCATTCGAGTCCGTTCCATTCGAGTCCGTACCATTCTATTCCATTGCTTTCCTTTCCTTTCCTTTCCTTTCCATTCCATTCCTTTCCATTCCATTCCATGCGAGTCCATTCCATGCGAGTCCTTTCCATTCCAGTCCATTCCATTCAATTTCGATTGCATTCCATTCCATTCTAATCCGTTCCATCCGATTGCATGCCATCCGATTGCATGCCATCCGATTTGATTCCATTCTGTTCTATTCCATTCCATTTGATTCCTCTTCCTTTCGAGTCCATTCCATTCTAGTCCATTCCATTCCAGTCCATTCCATTCGAGTCCATTCCATTCCATTCTAGTCCATTCCATTCCATTAGATTCCAGTGCATTTTATGCCATTCCACTCGATTCCATTCCATTCCATTCCATTCCAGTCCATTCGATTCCATTCCATTCAAATCAATTCCATTCCAATCCATTCCATTCCATTCTATTCCATTCCATTAAATTTGAATCCATTCCATTCCATTCCAGTCCATTCCTTTCAAGTCCATTCAATTCCATTCCGTTCGAATTCATTCCATTCCATTCCATTTGATTCCATTCCATGCCATTCCATTCAATTCAATTCCATTCGATTCCATTCCATTCAAATCAATTCCATTCCAATCCATTCCATTCCATTCTATTCCATTCCATTCCACTCTATTCCATTCCATTAAATTTGAATCCATTCCATTCCATTCCAGTCCATTCCTTTCAAGTCCATTCCATTCCATTCCGTTCGAATTCATTCCATTCCATTCCATTTGATTCCATTCCATGTCATTCCATTCAATTCAATTCCATTCGATTCCATTCCATTCAAATCAATTCCATTCCATTCTATTCCATTCCATTAAATTCGAGTCCAATGCATTCCCTTCCCTTCCATTCCTTTCCATTCCAGTCCATTCCAGTCCAGTCCATTCCATTCGGATCCATTCCATTTCATTCCATTGCTTTGAATTCCATTCCATACCATTCCAGTCCAGTCCATTACATTCGAGTCCATTCCATTCGAGTCCATTCCAATTGATTCCCTTTCATTTGATTCCATTCCATTCGTTTGCATTCCATTCGATTCCATTCAATTAGATTCCATTCCATTCGTTTCCATTCCATTCGAGTCCATTCCATTCAAGTCCATTCCATTCCAGTCCATTACCTTCGAGTCTATTCCATTCCATTCTATTCCATTCCATTCAATTCCATTCCTTTCGATTCCATTCCATTTGAGTCCATTCCATTCCTGTCCATTCCATTCCATTCAATTCCATTTCATTCCAGTCCATTCCATTCCTTTCCATTCCATTCCATTCGAGTCCATTCCATTGCATTCCATTGCATTCAATTCCATTCGATTCCATGCCATTCCAGTCCATTCCTTTTGAGTCCATTCCATTCCATTCCTTTCGAATCCATTCCATTCCATTCCATGTCATTCCATTCCATTCCATTCCATTCCATGTCATTCCATTCCATTCCATTCCCTTCGAATCCATTCCATTCCATTCCGTTTCCTTCCATTTGATTCCATAACATTTGATTCGATTCAATTCCTTTCCATTCCAATCCATTCCATTCCATTCCATTAAATTCTATTCCATTCCATTTTATTCCATTTCACTCGAGTCCATTCCATTCAAGTCCATTCCATTCCAGGCCATTTCTTTCGAGTCCATTCCATTCTATTCCATTCCATTCCATTCCTTTCGGGACCATTCCATTACTGTCCATTCCATTTGAATCCATTCCATTCCAGTCCATTACATTTGATTCCATTCCATTCGATTCCATTCCATTCGATTGCCTTCCATTCCAGTCCATTCCATTTGAGTCCATTCCGTTTCCATTCCTTTTGATTCCATTCCTTTCCATTCGAGTCCATTCCATTCCACTCGATTGCATTCCATTCGATTCCATTCCATTCGAGACCGTTCCATTCTGATCCATTCAATTCGAGTCCATTCCATTCTATTACATTTCATTAGATTCCATTTCATTTGATTCCATTCCATTCGAGTCCATTCCATTCCATTCCATTCGAATCCATTCTATTCCATTCCATTCCATAACACTCCCGTTCCACTTTACTCCACTCCACTCCATTAAATTCCATTATATCCAATTCCGTTCCACTCCATTCCACTCCTCTCCTCTCCACTGCACTCCACTGCACTCCATTCCACTCCATCCCATTCCATTCTGCTCCATTCCACTGCAATCCACTCCACCCCACTCATCTCCACTTCATTCCATTCCATTCCATCCCATTCCATTCCTCTCCATTCCAGTCCACTCTACTTCACCTCACTCCACTCCACTCTAGTCCACTCCATTCCATTCCATTCGATTCCACTGCATTCCACGCTATTCCTTTCTTTCAAAAGTATCTCACTCTGTCACCCTGCCTGCAGCACAGTGGCACAATCTCAGCTCACATTTCATTTCACCATTCCATTCCATTCCACTCCACTCTACTCCACTCCAATCCATTCCACTCCACTCCAGTCCACTCCACTCCTTTCCATTCCATCCCATTCCATTCCACTCCTTTCCACTCCACTCCACTCCATTCCATTCCACTGCATTCCATTCCACTTTACTCCAGTCCACTCCACTCCATTTCATTCCACTGCATTGCATTCCACTCTTTTCCACTCCATTCCATTTCATTCCACTCCATTCCATTCTACTCCCTTCCACTCCTCTCCACCACATTCCACTCCATTCCATTCCCTTCCATTACATTACATTCCATTGCATTCCACTCCACTCCACTCCATTCCTCTCCATTCCATTCCATTCCACTCCACTCCATTCCATGCCATTCCATTCCACTCCACTCCATTCCATTCCATTGCATTCCACTCCATTCTGCTCCACTCCACTCCACTCCACTCCCTTTCATTCCATTCCACTTCACTCCATTGCATTCCATTCCTTTCTTTCGACAGGATATCACTGTGTCACCCAGGCTGGAGTGCAGTGGCACAATCTCTGCTCACATTACATGTCAACTTTCCATTTCATTGCATTCTATTCCATTGCATTCTGCTGAATTCCATTGCATTCCATTGCATTCCATTGCATTCCATTGTATTCCATTCCATTCCGTTCCACTCCACTCCACTACATTCTATAACATCCAATTACATTCCACTCCTCTCCATTCCACTGCTCTCCCCACCACTCCATTCCACTCTATCCCATTCCATTCCACTCCATTCCACTGGACTCCGCTCCACCCCACTTCACTCCACTTCATTCCATTCCATTCTATCCCATTCCATTCCTCTCCATTCCACTCCACTCCACTTCACTCCACTCCACTCCACTCCACTCCAGTCCACTCCATTCCATTCCACTGCATTCCATTCCTTTCCTTTCTTTTGAGAGTATCTCACTCCATCACCCAGCCTGGAGAGCAGTGGCACAATCTCAGCTGACATTTCGTTTCACCATTCCATTCAATTCCAATCCATTCAGTTCCATTCCGCTCCACTCCACTCCACTGCAATCCATTCCACTCCACTCCATTCCATTCCACTCCACTCCTTTCCATTCCATTCCACTCCTTTCCTCTCCAATGCACTCTACTCCACTCCATTCCATTCCACTCCATTAGATTCCATTCCTTTCTTTTGACAGGATCTCACTCTGTCACCCAGGCTGGAGTGCATTGGCACAATCTCAGCCCACTTTTCATTTCACCATTCCATTCCATTCCATTCCACTGTACTCCACTCCAATCCACTGAATTCCAGTCCACTCCACTCCAACCTATTCCATTCCATTCAATTCCAATCCCTTCCATTGCACTCCTTTCTTTCGACAGGATCTCCCTCTCACACAGGGTGCAGCGCAGTGGCACAATCTCAGCACACATTTCTTTTCACCATTCCATTCCATTCCGTTCCATTCTGTTCCATTCCATTCATTTCCATTGCATTCCATCCCACTCCATTCCATTCCACTCCACTCCTCTCCACTCCACTCCCTTCCATTCCATGCCATTCCGTTCCTTCCTTTCCAAAGGATGTCACTCTGTCACATAGGCTGGAGTGCAGTGGCACAATCTCAGCTCACATTTCTTTCCACCATTCCATTGCATTCCATTCCATCCCATTCCATTCCTCTCTATTTCACTCCACTCGACTCCATTCCACTCCAGTCGACTCCATTCCACTAAACTCGACTCCACTCAACTCCATTCCATTCCATTCCATACCATTTCACTCCATTGCATTCCATAGCTTCTTTTCCACAGTATATCATGGTGTCACCCAGGCTGGAGTGCAGTGGCACTATCTCAGCTCATATTACATGTCAACTTTCCATTGCATTGCATTCTATTCCATTACATTCAATTGCATTCCATTCCTTTCCATTGCATTCCATTCCATTCCATTCCTTTCCATTCCATTCCACTCCGTTCGACTCCACTCCACTCCATTCCTCTACATTCCATTACATCCGATTCCATTCCACTCCATTCCACTCCTCTGCACTCCACTGCACTCCACTCCATTCCACTCCATCCCATTCCATTCCGTTCCATTCCACTGCACTCCACTCCACCCCACTCCACTCCACTTCATTCTATTCCATTCCTCTCCATTCCACGCCACTCCTCTTCACTCCACTCCTCTCCAGTTCACTCCATTCCGTTCTATTCCATTACATTACATTACACTGCATTCCATTCCATTCCATTCCTTTCTTTCGAGAGTATCTCACTCTGTCACCCAGCCTGGAGTGTAGTGGCACAATCTCAGCACACATTTCATTTCACCATTCCATTCCATTCTATTCCATCCCATTCCATTCCACTCCACTCCATTCCAGTCCATTCCATTCCACTCCTTTCCACTCCACTCCATTCCATTCCACTCCATTCCATTCCTTTGTTTTGACAGGGTCTCACTCTGTCACCCAGGCTGGTGTGCAGTGGCACAATCTCAGCTCACATTTCATTTCACCATTCCACTCCATTCCATTCCATTCCACCGCACTCCACTCCACTCCACTCAATTCCATTCCACTCCAGTCCACTCCATTCCATTCCATTCCAATCCCTTAAATTCCACTCCTTTCCTTCAAAAGGATCTCCCTGTGTCACACAGGCTGTAGCACAGTGGCACAATCTCAGCACACATTTCTTTTCACCATTTCATTCCATTCCATTCCACTCTATTCCATTCCATTCCCTTCCACTCCACTCCAGTCCTCTCCATTCCACTCCACTCCACTCCATTCCACTCCATGCCACTCCATGCCAATCCACTCCATTCCATTCCACTCTACTCCACTCCTCTCCATTCCACTCCAATCCACTCCACTCCATTCCACTCCATGCCAGTCCACTCCACTCCATTCCATTCCACTCTATTCCACTCCACTCAACTCAATTCCACTCCCCTCCACTCCACTCCATTCCACTCCATTCCACTCCCCTCCCCTCCATTGCATTCCCTTCCATTCCATTCCTTTCTTTCCACAGGATCTCACTCTGTCACAAAGGCTGGAGTGCAGTATCACAATCTCAGCTCACATTTATTTTCACCATTCCATTGCGTTCCATTCCATCCCATTCTATTCCACTATATTTCACTCCACTCCACTCCATTCCATTCCACTCCATCCCATTCCATTCGACTCCACTCCATTCCACTCCATTGCACTCCACTCCACTCCATTCCATTCCACTCTACTTCTCTCCACTCCACTCCCTTCCATGCCATTCCATTCCACTCCACTCCTTTCCATTCCATTCCACTCCACTCCATTCCACTCCACTCCATTCCATTCCACTCCATTCCATGCCATTCCATTCCACTCCACTCCATTCCACTCTACTCCATTCCACTCCACTCCACTCCATTCCTTTATTTCTACTGGATCTCACTCTATCAACCAGACTGGAGTTCAGTGGCACAATCTTAGATCACATTTCATTTCACCATTCCATTCCATTCAATTCCATTCCATAACCCTCCGTTCCACTCCACTCCACTCCACTAAATTCCTTTACATCCGATTCCATTCCACTCCATTCCACTCCTCTCCTCTCCACTGCACTTCACTCCATTCCACTCCATCCCATTCCACTCCATTCCACTGCAATCCACTCCACCCCACTCATCTCCACTTCATTCCATTCCATTCCATCCTATTCCATTCCTCTCCATTCCAGTCCACTCCACTTCACCCCACTCCACTCCATTCCATGCCATTCCATTCCACTGCATTCCATTCTATTCCTTTCTTTTGAAAGTATCTCACTCTGTCACCCAGCCTGGAGCGCAGTGGCACAATCTCAGCTCACATTTCATTTCACCATTCCATTCCATTCCATCCCACTCCACTCCACTCCACTCCAATCCATTCCACTCCATTCCACTCCACGCCATTCCAGTCCACTCCACTCCTTTCCATTCCATCCCATTCCATTCCACTCCTTTCCACTCCACTCCACTCCATTCCATTCCTTTCTTTTGACAGGATCTCACTCTGTCACCCAGGCTGGTGTGCAGTGGTACAGTCTCATCTCACATTTCACTTCACCATTCCATTCCATTCCATTCTATTCCACAGCACTCCACTCCACTCAATTCGACTCCACTCCACTCCAATCCATTCCATTCCAATCCCTTCCATTTCACTCCTTTCTTTCGACAGGATCTCCCTCTGTCACACAGGTTTAGTGCAGTGACACAATCTCAGCACACATTTCTTTTCACCATTTCATTCCATTCCATTCCGTTCCATTCCATTCCATTCCATTACACTCCATTCCATTCCACTGCATTCCATTCCACTCTACTCCAGTCCACTCCACTCCATTTCATTCCACCACATTCCATTCCACTCTTTTCCACTCCATTCCACTCTATTCCATTCCATTCCACTCCTCTCCACTCCACTCCATTCCATTTCATTCCATTCCACTCCATTCCATTCCCTTCCATTCCATTCCCTTCCATTACATTCCATTCGATTGCATTCCACTCCACTCCACTCCATTCCTCTCCATTCCATTCCACTCCACTCCATTCCATACCATTCCATTCCACTCCATTCCATTCCACTCCACTCCATTCCATTGCATTCCACTCCACTCCACTCCACTCCATTCCATTCCATTTCACTCCATTGCATTCCATTCCTTTCTTTTGACAGGATATCACTGTGTCACCCAGGCTGGAGTGCAGTGGCACAATCTCTGCTCACATTACATGTCAACTTTCCTTTTCACTGCATTCTATTCCATTGCATTCCATTGCTTTCCATTGCATTCCATTCCATTCCATTCCACTCCACTCTACTCCACTCCATTCCATACCATTCCGTTCCTTTCTTTCCAAAGGATCTCACTCTGTCACAGAGGCTGGAGTGCAGTGGCACAATCTCAGGTCACATTACATGTCAACTTTCCATTTCTTTGCATTCAATTGCATTCCATTCCTTTCCATTACATTCCATCACACTCCGACTCCGACTCCACTCCACTCCTCTACATTCCATTACATCCTATTCCATTCCACTCTATTCCACTCCTCTCCACTCCACTGCACTCCACTCCACTCCATTCCACTCCATCCCATTCCATTCCTCTCCATTCGGCTGCACTCCACTCCACCCCACTCCACTTCATTGCATTCCATTCCATCTCATTCCATTCATCTCCATTCCACTCCACTCCACTTCACTCCACTCCACTCCTCTGCAGTCCACTCCATTCCATTACACTGCATTCCATTCCATTCCTTTCTTTCAAGAGTATCTCACTCTGTCACCCAGCCTGGAGCGTAGTGGCACAATCTCAGCTCACATTATATTTCCCCATTCAATTCCATTCTATTCCATTCTATTCCACTCCACTCCACTCCAGTACATTCCACTCCACTCCACTCCAGTACATTCCACTCCACTCCACTCCTTTCCAGTCCATTCCAGTCCTTCCCATTCCATCCCATTGCATTCCACTCCTTTCCACTCCACTTCCCTCCACTCCAATCCATTCCATTCCACTCCATTCCATTACATTCCTTTCTTTTGACAGGATCCCACTCTGTCACTCAGGCTGGTGTGCAGTGGCACAATCTCAGCTCACATATCATTTCATCATTCCACTCCATTCCATTCCATTCCACTGCACTCCACTCCACTCAATTCCACTCCACTCTACTCCAATCCATTCCATTCCATTCCAATCCCTTCCATTCCACTCCTTTCTTTTGACAGGATCTCCCTGTGTCACACATTTCTTTTCACCATTTCATTCCATTCCATTCCACTGCATTCCATTCCATTCCCTTCGACTCCACTCCACTCCTCTCCATTTCCACTCCAGTCCACTCCCACTCCATTCCAATCCGTGCCACTCCATTCCACTCCACTCCATTCCATTCCACTCTACTCCACTCCACTCAATTCCACTCCACTCAATTCCACTCCACTCCACTGCATTCCATTGCACTCCATTCCATTCCGTTCCATTCCTTTCTTTCCACAGGATCTCACTCGGTCACAAAGGCTGGAGTGCAGTGGCACAATCTCAGCTGACATTTCTTTTCACCATTCCATTGCATTCCATTCCATCCCATTCCATTCCACTGTATTTCACTCCACTCCACTCCACTCCGTTCCACTCCATGCCATTCCATTCCACTCCACTCCACTCCATTGCTTTCCATTCCTTTCCTTCGACAGGATATCTCTGTGTCACCCTGGCTGGAGTGCAGTGGCACAATCTCAGCTCACATTACATGTCATCTTTCCATTGCGTTGCATTCTATTCCATTGCATTCCATTCCATTCCATTCCTTTCCATTCTGTTCCATTCCATTCAATTCTCTTCCATTCCACTCTGTTCCACTCCACTCCCCTCCACTGCACTACATTCCATTACATCCGATTCCATTACACTCCATTCCAGTCCTCTCCACTCCAGTGCACTCCACTCCACTCCATTCCACTCCATCCCGTTCCATTCCGCTCCATCCCACTGCACTCCACTCCACCCCTCTCCACTCCTCTTCCTTCATTCCATTCCATTCCACCTTTTTCCATTCCTCTTGATTGCACTCCAATCCACTTCACTCCACTCCACTCCAATCCATTCCATTCCATTCCACTGCATTCAATTCCATTCCTTTCTTTAGAGAGTATCTCACTCTGTCACCAAGCCTGGAGTGCAGTGGCACAATCTCAGCTCACATTTCATTTCACCATTCCATTGCATTCTACTCCATTAAATTCCACTCCACTCCACTCCAATCCATTCCACTCCACTCCACTCCATTCCAGTCCACTCCAGTCCTTTCCATTCCATCCCATTCCATTCCACTCCTTTCTACTCCACTCCACTGCTCTCAACTCCATTACATTCCATTCCACTCCATTCCATTCCAGTACTTTCTTTTGACTGTATCTCACTCTGTCACCCAGGCTGGTGTGCAGTGGCACAATCTCAGCTCACATTTCATTTCACCATTCCATTCCATTCCATTCCACTGCACTGCACTCCACTCAATTCCACTCCACTCTACTCCAATCCGTTCCATTCCATTTCAATCCCTTCCATTCCACTCCTTTCTTTCGACAGGGTCTCCCTCTGTCACACAGGCTGTAGTGCAGGTGATGAGACTATTTTATAGTCTCTGTGTATGGGGGCATTTTGACCTATCTCTGCACTGATCACCCAAGTGATGTAACACTTGACTATGCTCTGCCTATTGGGGCATAGTGACATATCACTGCATTGATCACTCAGATGTTGTAGCTCTTGCCTAGGCTCTGCCTACATGGGCATTGTGACACATCTCTGAACTGATCAACCAAGTGATGTAACCCTTGTCTAGGCTCTGCCTACAGGAGCTTTGTGACATATCTCTGCACTGATCACCCAGGTGATGGGACTTTTGTCTAGGCTCTGCCTACAGTGGCATTGTGACATATCTCTACAGTAATCAACCAGGTGATGTAACTCTTGTCTAGGCTCTGCCTACAGGGGGCTTTGTGGTATAACTCTGCACTGATCACCCAGGTGATGGGACTCTTCTCTAGGTTCTGCCTATTGGGGGCATTGTCACATATTTCTGCACTGATCACCCAGGTGACGGACTCTTGTCTTGGATCTGCCTATGGAGGCAATGCGACATATCTCTGAACTAATCACCCAGGTGATGTAACTCTTGTTTAGGCTCTGGCCACAGGGACATAGTGACATATATCTGCACTGATCACACAGGTAATGTAACTCTTCTCTAGTCTCTGCCTACAGAGGGCGTTGTGACATCACTCTGCAATGATCACCCAGGTGATGTAACCATTGTCTAGGCTCTACCTACATGGACATTGTAACATGTCTCTGCACTGATCACCCAGGTGATGTAAATTTTGTCTAGGCTCTGCTCACAGGGGCATTTTGACATATCTCTGCACTGATCACCGACATGATGTAACTCTTCTCTGGGCTTTGCCGACAGGACTAATTGAGACATATCTCTGCACTGATCACCGAGGTGATGCAACTCTTGTCTGGGCTCTCCTTACAGGGCGCATTGTGACATATCTGCCCTGATCACCCAGGTGATATAACTCATTTCTAGGTTCTGCCTACAGGGGCGTTATGACATATCTCTGAAGTGATCACCGAGGTGATGTAACTCCTGTCTAGGCATTGCTTACAGGGTGCATTGTAACATATCTCTGCACTGATCACCCAGGTGATGTAACCCTTGTCTAGGATCTGACTAAAGGTTGCTTTGTCACATAACTTTGCACTGATCATCCATGTGATGGGGCTTTTGTCCAGGCTCTGCCTATGAGGGCATTGTGACGTATTTCTGCACTGATCATCCAGGTGACAGACTCTTGTCTTGCATCTGCCTCTGGGGGCACTGTGAAATATCTCTGCACTGATCACCCAGGTGATGTAACTGTTATATAAGCTCTGCCTACAGGGGAATTGTGAGAGATCTCTCCACGGATCACCCAAGTGATGTAACAATTGTCTAGGCTTTGCCTACAGGGGGTTTTGTGACATATCTTTGCACTGATCACCCAGGTGATGTAACTCATCTAAGCTCTGCCTACAGGGGCCTTGTGACATATCTCTGCACTGATCACCCCGGGGAGAGAATTCTTGTCTAGGCTCTGCCTACAAGGGGCTTTTTGACATATCTCTGCACTGATCACCTAGGTGATGTAACTCTGATCTACCCTCTTCCTACAGGGGGCATTGTGAAGTATGTCTGCACTGATCACCCAGTTGATGCAACTCTTGTCTAGGATCTGCTGACAGGAGGTATTGTAAAATATCTCTGCACTGATCACCTGGGTGATGTAACTCGTCTACCCTCTGCCTACAGGGGGTATTGTGAAATATCTCTGCACTGATCAACTAGGTGATGTAACTCTTGTCTAGGCTCTGCCTACAGGGGCGTTTTGACATATCTCTGAACTGATGACAAAAGTGATGTAACTCTTGCCTAGGCTTTGCCTACAGGGGACATTGTGACATATCTCTGCACTGATCACCCAGGTGATGCAACTCTTCTCTATGCTCTGCCTACAAACGGCATTGTGACATATCTCTGCACTGATCACCCAGGTGAAGTAACTTTTCCAGTCTCTGCCTACAGAGGGCGTTGTGACATCATTCTACACGGATCACCAGGGTTATGTAAGTCTTGTCTAGGCTCTGCCTATGGGAGCACTGTGACGTATCTCTGCACTGATCATCTAGGAGATGTGACTCTTGTCTAAGCTCTGCCTACAGGGGCATTGGGACATATCTCTGCACTGATCACTGAGATGATGTAACACTTGTCAAGGCTTTGCCTACAGTGAGATTTATGACATATCTCTGCACTGATCACCCAGTTGATGTAACTCTTGTCTAGGCTCAGCTTACAGGGGGTATTGTGAGATATCTCTGCACTGATCACCCAGGTGATGTAACTCTTGTTAGGCTCTGCCTACAGGGGCATTTTAACATATCACTGCACTGATCACCGAGATGATGTAACTTGTACAGGCTTCGCTGACAGAGGTCTTTGAGACATATCACTTCACTGATCACCGAGGTGATGCAACTCTTGTCTGGGATCTGCCTACAGGGGGCATTGTGACATATCTCTGCATTGATCACCGAGGTGATGTAACTCTTGTCTAGGCTCTGCCTGCTGGAGACATTGTGACATATCTCTGCACTGATCACCCAGGTGATGTAACTCTTGTCTAGGCTCTGCCTACATGGACATTGTGACATGTCTCTGCACTGATCACCCAGGTGATGTAAATTTTTTCTAGGCTCTGCCCTCAGGGGCATTTTGACATATCTCTGCACTGATGACCTAGATGATGTAATTCTTTTCTGGGCTTTGCCGACAGGAGACATTGAGACATATCTCTGCACTGAACACGGAGGTGATGCAACTCTTGTGTGGGCTCTGCCTACAGGGGGCATTGTGACATATCTCTGCCCTGATCACCCAGGTGATGTAACTCTTGTCTAGGCTCTGCCTAAAGGGGGTATTGTGACATATCTCTGCACTGATCACATAGGTGATGTAACTTTTTCTAGGCTCTGCCTACAGGGGCGTTTTGACATATCTCTGAAGTGATCACCGAGGTTATGTAACTCTTGTCTAGGCTTTGCCTACAGGGGGCATTGTAATATATCTCTGCACTGATCACCCAGGTGGTGCAACTCTTCTCTAGGCTCTTCTTACAGGGGGCATTGTGACATATCTCTGCACTGATCACGCAGGTGACTTAACTCTTCTCTAGGCTCTGCCTACAAGGTGCTTCGTGACATCACTCTGTATTGATCATCAAGGTGATGTAACTTTTGTCTAGGCTCTGCCTAAGGGGGCATTGTGACATACCTCTGCACTGATCACTGAGGTGATGTGAACCCTGTCTAAGCTCTCCCTATGGGTGCATTGTGAGATATCTCTGCACTGATTCCCCAGATGATGCAACTCCTTTCTAGGCTTTGCCTAAAGGGGGATTTGTCACATCTCTATAGTGATCACCCAGGTGATGTAACCCATTTCTAGGCTCTGCCTACAGGGGAATTGTGACATATCACTGCACTGATCACCCAGGTGATGTAACTCTTCTTTAGGGTGTACTTTCAGGGGGCTTTGTGACGTACCTCTGCACTGATCAACTAGGCGATATAACTCTTTTCTAGGCTTTGCCCTGAGGGGGCATTGTTACATATCTCCATACTGATCACCCAGGTAATGCAACTCTTTTCTACTCTCTGCCTACAGCGGCATTGTGACTTATCACTACACTGATAACACAGGTGATGGGACTCTTCCCTACACTCTGCCTACAGGGGTCTTCATGACATATCTCTGCACTGATAACTCAGGTGATGGGACTTTTCTCTATACTCTGCCTAAAGGGGGATTTGTGACATTTCTGCACCGATAACCCAGGTGATGGAAGTCTTGTCTAGGCTCTGTCTACAGGGATTTTTGTGACATATCACTGCACTGATCACCTAGATGATGTAACTCTCATCTAGGCTCTGCCTACAGAGGCATTTTGATGTATCACTTCACTGATCACCCAGGTGATATAACTCTTGTCTAGCCTCCGCCTACGGGGGTATTGTGACATATCTCTGCACTGATCACCCAGGCAATGCAACTCTTCTCTAGGCTCTGCCTACAGGGGTCTTTGTGACATATCTCTGCACTGATCACCCAGGTGATGGAAGTCTTGTTTAGGCTCTGTCTATGGGGTCATTGTGTCAAATATCTGCACTGATCACCCAGGTGATGTAACTCTTGTTTAGGCTCTGTCTGAAAGGATTTTTGTGACGTATCACTGCACTGATCACTTAGATGATTTAATTCTTGTCTAGGCTCTGCCTACAGGGGCATTTTGATGTATCATTGTATTCATTACCCAGGTGATGTAACTCTTGTCTAGGCTCTGCCTATAGGGGGCATTGCGACATATCTCTGCACTGATCACCCAGCTGATGGAACACTTGTCAAGGCTCTGCCTACATGGGCATTGTGACACATCTCTGAACTTATCAACCAAGCGATGTAACTCTTGTCTAGCCTCTGCCTACAGGGGTTTTGTGACATATCTCTGCACTGATCACCCAGCTGATGGAACTTTTGTCTAGGCTCTGCTACGGGGGCATTGTGACATATCTCTACACTGACCACCCAGGTGATATAACTCTTGTGTTGGATCTGCCTATGGGGACATTGCGACATATTTCTGCACTGATCACCCAGGTGATGGGACTCTTTTCCAGGCTCTGTGTATGGGGGCTTTGTGACATATCTCTGCACTGATCACCTACGTGATGAAACCTTTGACTAGGCTCTGCCTACTGGGGCATAGTGACATATCACAGCATTGATCACTCAGATGATGTAACTATTGTCTAGGTTCTGCTTAAAGGGGCCTTGTCACATATCTCTGCACTGCTCATCCAGCTGATGAAACATTTGTCTAGGCTCTGCCTACATAGGCATTGTGACACATCTCTGAATTGATAAACCAAATGATGTAACTCTTGTCTAGGCTCTACCTACAGGGGCTTTGTGACATATCTCTGTACTGATCAGCCATGTGATGGGACTTTTGTCTAGGCTCTGCCTACGGGGGCATTTTGACATATCTCTACACTGATAATCGAGGTGATTTAACTCTTGTGTTGGATCTGCCTAGGGGGCATTGTGACATATTTCTGCACTGATCACCCTGGTGATGGGACTCTTGTCTAGGCTCTGTGTATGGGGGCTTTGTGACATATCTCTGCACTGATGACCCAGGTGATGTAATGCTTGACTAGGCTCTGCCTACTGGCGCATAGTGACATATCACTGCATTGATCACCGAGGTGATGTAACTGTTGTCCAGGCTCTGCCTATAGGGGGCCTTGTGACATACCTCTGCACTGATCATCTAGGTGATGTAACTCTTGCTTATGCTCTGCCTGCAGGGGCATTGTGAAATATCTCTTTACTGAACCACCAGGTGATGTAAATCTTGTCTAGGCTCTGCCTACAGAGGGCATTGTGGCATAACTCAGCACTGATCACCTAGGTGATGGGACTCTTCTCTAGGCTCTGCCTACAGCGGTCATTGTCACATATTTCTGCACTGATCATCTAGGTGACGGACTCCTGTCTTGGATGTGCCTATGGGGGCATTGTGACATATCTCTGCACTGCTCACCCAGGTGATGTAACTCTGGTGTAAGCTCTGCCTAAAGGGGCACCGTGACAGATCTCTGCACTGATCACTCAGGTGATGTAACCATTGTCTAGGCTCTGCTTAAAGGGGCCTTGTCACATATCTCTGCACTGATCACCCAGGTGATATAACTCTTGTCTAGGCTCTGCTTACAGGGGGTATTTTGGCATATCTCTGCACTGGTCACCTAACTGATGTAACACTTGAGTAGGCTCTGCCTACAGTGGCATTTTGACATACCTCTGCCCTGATAAGCAAGGTGATTTAACCCTTGTCTACGCTGTTCCCACAGGGGGATTGAGACGTATCTCTGCACTGATCCCGAGGTGATCCAACTCTTTTCTGGGCTCTGCCTACTGGGGACATTGTGACATATCTCTGCACTGATCTCCCTGGTGATGTAACATTTGTCTGGGCTCTGGCTACACGGCATTGTGACATATCACTGCACTTATCACCCAGGTGATATAACTCTTGTCTAGGCTCTGCCTACAGGAGGCTTGTGACATACCTCTGCACTGCTCACCCAGGTGATGTAACTCTTGTCTAGGATCTGCCTACAGGGTGCTTTGTGACATATCCCTGCAATGATCACCCAGATGATGTACCACTTGTCAAGGCTCTGCCTACAGGGGCATTGCGATGTATCTGCACTGATCACCTAAGTCATGTAACTCTTATCTAGGCTCTGCCAACAGTGGCATTGTGACATATCTCTGCACTGATCACCCCGTGGAGAGAATTCTTGTCTAGGCTCTGCCTACAGGGGCCTTTGTGAGAGATCTCTGCACTGATCACCTAGGTGATATAAAACTTATAAGCTCTGCCTACAGGGAATTTTGACAAATCTCTGTACTGATCACCTAGGTGATGTAACTCTTGTCTACCCTCTGCCTACAGGGGGCATTGTGAAATATCTCTGCACTGATAACCCAAGTGATGCAACTCTTGTCTAGGATCTGCCTACAGGGGGTATTGTGAAATATCTCTGCACCGATCAACTAGGTGATGTAACTCTTTTCTAGGCTCTGCCTACAGGGGCGTTTTGACATATCTCTGAACTGATGAGAAAGGTGATGTAACTCTTGCCTAGGCTTTGCCTACAGGGGACATTGTGACATATCTCTGCACGGATCACCCAGGTGATGTAACTCTTTTCTAGTCTATGCCTACGGACGGTGTTGTGACATCACTCTGCACATATCACCCGGGTTATGTAACTCTTGTCTGGGCTCTGCTTATGGGAGCATTGTGACTTATCTCTGCACTGATCACCCAGGTGATGTAACTCTTGTCTAAGCTCTGCCTACAGGGGCATTGGGACATATCTCTACACTGATCACTGAGGTGATGTAACACTTGTCTAGGTTTTGCCTACAGTAGGATTTATGACATATCTCTGCACTGATCTCCCAGTTGATGTAATTCTTGCCTAAGCTCTGCTTACAGGGGTATTGTGAGATCTCTGCACTGATCACCCAGGTGATATAATTCTTGTCTAGGCTCTGCGAACAGGGGCATTTTAACTTATCACTGCACTGATCATCGAGGTGATGCAACTCTTGTCTGGGATCTGCCTACGGGTGGCATTGTGACATATCTCTGACCTGATCACCCAGGTGATGTAACTCTTGTCTAGGCTCTGCCTGCTGGAGACATTGTGACTTATCTCTGCACTGATCACCCAGGTGATGTATCTCTTGTCTAGGCTCTGGCCACAGGGACATAGTGACATATATCTGCACTGATCACACAGGTAATGTAACTCTTCCCTAGTCTTTGCCTACAGAGGGCGTTGTGACATATCTCTGCACTGATCTCTCAGGTGAGGTTACTCTTGTCTAGTCTCTGCCTACAGAGGGCGTTGTGACATCACTCTGCAATGATCACCCAGGTGATGTAACCATTGTCTGGGCTCTACCTACATGGACATTGTAACATGTCTCTGCACTGATCACCCAGGTGATGTAAATTTTGTCTAGGCTCTGCTCACAGGGGCATTTTGACATATCTCTGCACTGATCACCGAGATGATGTAACTCTTCTCTGGGCTTTGCCGACAGGACTAATTGAGACATATCTCTACACTGATCACCGAGGTGATGCAACTCTTGTCTAGGCATTGCTTACAGGGTGCATTGTAACATATCTCTGCACTGATCACCCAGGTGATGCAACTCTTCTCTAGGTTTTGCCTACAGAGTGCATTGTGACATATCTCTGCAGTGATCTCCCCGGTGATGTAACCTTTGCCTAGGCTCTGGCCACGCGTCATTGTGACATATCACTGCACTGATCACCCATGTGATATAACTCTTGTCTAGGCTCTGCCTATAGTGGCATTGTGACATATCTCTGCACTGATCACCCATGTGATATAACTCTTGTCTGGGCTCTGCCTACAGTGGCATTGTGACATATCTCTGCACTGATCACCCAGGTGATATAACTATTGTCTAGGATCTGCCTACAGGCTGCTTTGTGACATATCCCTGCAATGATCATCCAGGTGATGTACCATTTGTCAAGGCTCTCCTTAAAGGGGCATTGCGATGTATCTCTGCACTGATCACCTAGGTCATGTGACTCTTGTCTAGGCTCTGCCTGCAGTGGCATTGTGACATATCTCTGCACTGATCACCCAGGTGATATAACTCTTGTCTGGGATCTGCCTAAATGGACTTTGTGACAGAACCCTGCACTGATCATCCAGGTGATGGGGTTTTTGTCTAGGCTCTTCCTACGGGGGCATTCTGACTTATTTCTGCACTGATCACCCAGGTGACGGACTCTTGTCTTGCATCTGCCTATGGGGGCATTGTGACATATCTCAGCACTGATCACCCAGGTGGTGTAACTGTTGTATAAGCTCTACCTACAGGGGAATTGTGAGAGATGTCTTTACTCATCCCCCAAGTAATGTAACTATTGCCTAGGCTTAGCCTACAGGGGGCTTTGTGACATAACTTTGCACTCACCACCCAGGTGATGTAACTCATTTAAGCTCTGCCTACAGGGGCTTTGTGACATATCTCTGCACTTATCACTCCTGGAGAGAGAATTCTTGGCTAGGCTCTGCCCACAGGGAGCTTTGTGACATATATCTCTGCACTGATCACGTAGGTGATGTAACACTTTTATAAGCTCTGCCTACAGGGAATTTTGACAAATCTCTGCACTGATCACCTAGGTCATTTAACAGTTCTCTACGCGCTGCCTACAGGGGGCAATGTGAAAAATCTCTGCACTGATCACCCCGGTGATGCAAGTCTTGTCTAGGATCTGCCTACAGTGGGTATTGTGAAATATCTCAGCACTGATCACCTAGGTGATGTAACTTTTTTCTACCCTCTGCCTACAGGGGGCAATGTGAAAAATCTCTGCACTGATCACCCAGGTGATGCAAGTCTTGTCTAGGATCTGCCTAAAGGGGCATTTTAACATATCTCTGAACTGATGGCAAAGGTGATGTAACTCTTGCCTAGGCTCTGCCTACAGGGGACATCGTGACATATCTCTGCACTGATCACCCAGGTGATGTAACTCCTGTCTAGGCTCTGCCTACAGGGGCATTTTAATATATCACTGCACTGATCACCGAGGTGATGCAACTCTTGTCTGGGATCTGCCCACAGGGGGCATTGTGACATATCTCTGACGTGATCACCCAGGTGATGTAACTCTTGTCTAGGCTCTGCCTACTGGAGACATTGTGATAGACATTGTGACTTATCTCTGCACTGATCACCCAGGTGATGGAACTCTTGTCTAGGCTCTGGCAACAGGGACATAGTGACATATATCTGCACTGATCACACAGGTGATGTAACTCTTTTCTAGTCTTTGACTACAGAGGGCGTTGTGACATATCTCTGCACTGATCTCTCAGGTGAGGTAACTCTTGTCTAGTATCTGCCTACAGAGGGCGTTGTGACATCACTCTGCAATGATCACCCAGGTGATGTAACCCTTGTCTAGGCTCTGCCTACATGGACATTGTGACATGTCTCTGCACTGATCACCCAGGTGATGTAAATTTTGTCTGGGCTCTGCCCACAGGTGCATTTTGACATATCTCTGCACTGGTCACGGAGAAGATGTAACTCTTCTCTGGGCTTTGCCGACAGGAGGCATTGAGACATATCTCTGCACTGATCACCGAGATGATGCAACTCTAGTCTGGGCTCTGCCTACAGGGTGCTTGTGACCTATCTGCCCTGATCACCCAGGTGATATAACTCTTGTCTAGGCTCTGCCTCAAGGGGGTATTGTGACATATCTCTGCACTGATCACCCAGGTAATGCAACTCTTCTCTAGGCTCTGCCTACAAGGTCCTTTGTGACATCACTATGTATTGATCATCCCGGTGATGTAACTTTTGTCTCAGCTCTGCCTACAGGGGCTTCGTGACATATCTCTGCACTGATCACCCAGGTGATGGGACTTTTGTCTAGGCTCTGCCTATGGGGGCATTGTGACATATCTCTACACTGATCACCCAGGTGATGTAACTCTTATGTTGGGTCTGCCTATGGGGGCATTGCAACATATTTCCGCACTGATCACCCTGGTGATGGGACTCTTGCTTACGCTCTGCCTGCAGTTGCATTTTGAAATATATCTTTACTGATCAACCAGGTGATGTAACCCTTGTCTGGGATCTGCCTACAGGGTGCTTTGTGACATATCCCTACAATGGTCACCCAGGTGATATACCACTTGTCAAGGCTCTGCCTAAAGGGGCTTTGCTGTGTATCTCTTCACTGATCACCTAGGTCATGAAACTCTTGTCTAGGCTCTGCTTACAGGGGGTATTTTGACATATCTCTGCACTGATCACCTAAGTGATGTAACACTTGAGTAGGCTCTGCCTACACTGGCATTTTGACATACTCTGCCCTGATAAGCAAGGTGATTTAACTCTTGTCTACGCTGTTCCCACATGGGGATTGAGACGTATCTCTGCACTGATCCCGAGGTGATCCAACTCTTTTCTGGGCTCTGCCTACTGGGGACATTGTGACATATCTCTGCACTGATCTCCCAGGTGATGAAACTTTTGTCTAGGCTCTGGCTACACGGCATTGTGACATATCACTGCACTTATCACCCAGGTGATATAACTCTTGTCTAGGCTCTGCCTACAGGGACCTTGTGACATATCTCTGCACTGCTCACCCAGGTGATGTACCATCTGTCAAGGCTCTGCCTACAGAGGCATTGCGATGTATCTCTGCACTGATCACCTAGGTCATGTAACTCTTGTCTAGACTCTGCCTACACTGGCATTGTGACATATCCCTGCACTGATCACCCAGGTTATGTAACTCTTGTCTAGGATCTGCCTACAGGGTGCTTTGTGACATATGCCTGCAATTATCACCCAGGTGATGTACCACTTGTCAAGGCTCTGCCTACAGGAGCATTGTTATGTATCTCTGCACTGATCACCTGGGTCATGTAACTCTTGCCTAGGCTCTGCCTACAGTGGCATTGCGACATATCTCTGCTCTGATCACCCAACTGATTTAACTCTTGTCTAGGATCTGCCTAAAGGGTCTTTGTGACGTAACTCTGCCCTCATCATCCAGGTGATGGGGCTTTTGTCTAGGCTCTGCCTACGGGGGCATTGTGACGTATTTCTGCTCTGATCACCCAGGTGACGGACTCTTGTCTTGCATCTGCCTATGGGGGCATTATGACATATCTCTGCACTGATCACCGAGGTGATGTAACTGTTGTATAAGCTCTGCCTACTTGTGAGTTGTGAGAGATCTCTCCACTGATCGCCCAAGTGATTTAACTATTGTCTTGGCTTTTCCTACACGGGGCTTTGTGACATATCTGTTCACTGATCACCCAGGTGATGTAACTCATCTAAGCTCTGCCTACAGGGGCCTTGTGATATATCTCTGCACTGATCACTCCCGGGGTGGGAATTCTCGTCTAGGCTCTGCCTACAGGGGGCTTTGTGACATATCTCTGCACTGATCACCTAGGTGATGTAACAGTTTTATAAGCTCTGCCTACAGGGAATTTTGACAAATCTCTGCACTGATCACCTAGGTGATGTAACTCTTGTTTAGGCTCTGCCTACAGGGGGCATTTTGATATATCTCTGCACTGATCACCCAGGTGATGCAACTCTTCTCTAGGAACTGCCTAAAGGGGGTATTGTGAAATATCTCTGCACTGATCAACTAGGTGATGTAACTCTTGTCTAGGCTCTACCTACAGAGGCATTTTGATGTATCTCTGAACTGACGAGAAAGGTGATGTAACTCTTGCCTAGGCTTTGCCACAGGGGACTTTGTGACATATCTCTGCACTGATCACCCAGGTGATGTAACTCTTCTCTGGGCTCTGCCTACAGGGGACTTTGTGACATATCTCTGCACTGATCAACTAGGTGATGTAACTCTTGTCCAGGCTCTGCCTATGGGGGCATTGTGACGTATCTCTGCAATGATCAATCCGGAGATGTGACATTTGTCTAAGCTCTGACTACATGGGTCCTGGGACACTTCTCTGCACTGATCACTGAGGTTATTTAAAACTTGTCTAGGCTTTGCCTACAGTGGGATTTTTGACATATCTCTGCACTGATCTCCCAGTTGATGTAACTCTTGTCTAGACTTTGCCTACAGGGGGTATTTTGAGGTATCTCTGCACTGATCACCGAGGTGATGTAACTCATGTCTACGCTCTGCCTACTGGAGACATCGTGACATATCTCTGCATTGATCACCCAGATGTTGTAACTCTTTTCTATGCGTGGCCACAGGAACATAGTGACATATATCTGCGCTGATCACATATGTGATGTAACTCTTGACTATTGTTTGCCTACAGAGTGCGTTGTGACACATCTCCGCACTGATCTCTCAGGTGAGGTAACTCTTGTCTAGTATCTACCTACAGAGGGCATTGTGACATCACTCTGCAATGATCACCCAGGTGATGTAACACTTGTCTAGACTCTGCTTACATGGACATTGTGACTTGTCTGAGCACTGATCACCCAGGTGATGTAAATTTTTTCTAGGCTCTGCTCACAGGGGCATTTTGACATATCTCTGCACTGATCAACGAGATGATGTAACTCTTGTCTGGGCTTTGCCTACAGGAGGCATTGAGACATACCTCTGCACTGATCACCGAGGTGATGCAACTCTTGTCTGGGCTCTGCCTACAGGGACATTGTGACATATCTCTGCTCTGATCACCCAGGTGATGTAACTCTTGTCTGGGCTCTGCCTACAGGGGTTATTGTGACATATCTTTGCACTGATCACTCAGGTGATGGGACTATTTTCTATACTCTGCCTAGAGGTGGATTCGTGACATAGTCTCTGCACTGATAACCCAGGTGATGGAATTCTTGTCTAGGTTCTGTCTATGGGGGCATTGTGTGAAATATCTGCACTGATCACTCAGGTGATGTAACTCTTGTCTAGGCTCTGTCCACAGGGATTTTTGTGACATATCACTGCACTGATCACATAGATGATGTAACTCTTGTCTAGGCTCTGCCTACAGAGGAATTTTGATGTAACACTGCACTGATCACCCAGGTGATGTAACTTTTGTCTAGGCTCTGCCTATAGGGGGCATTGTGACATATCTCTGCACTGATCACTCAGGTGATGTAACTCTTGTCTAGGCTCTGCCTACAGGGGGTATTGTGACATATCTCTGCACTGATCACCTAAGTGATGTAACACTTGTGTAGGCTCTGCCTACAGGAACATTTTGAGATATATCTGCACTGTTAACCGAGGTGATGTAACTCTTGTCTAGGCTGTCCCCACAGGGGGATTGAGACATATCTCTGTACTGATCCCGAGGTGATCCAACTCTTGTCTGGGCTCTGCCTACTGGGGATATTGTGACATATCTCTGCACTGATCTCCCAGGTGATGAAATTTTGTCTAGGTTCTCGCTACATGGCACTGTGACATATCTCTGCCCTGATCACCCGAGTGATGTAACTCTTGTCTAGGATCTGCCTACAGGGTGCTTTTTGATATATCCCTGCAATGGTCACCCAGGTGATATACCACTTGTCAAGGCTCTGCCTACAGGGGCATTGCGATGTATCTCTGCACTGATCACCTAGGTCATGTAACTCTTGTCTAGGCTCTGCCTACAGTGGCATTGTGACATATCTCTGCCCTGATCAACCAGGTGATGTAACACTTGTCTAGGATCTGCCTAAAGGGACTTTGTGACATAACTCTGCACTGATTATCCAGGTGATGTGGCTTTTTTCTAGGCTCTGCCTATGGGGACATTGTGACGTGTTTCTGCCCTGAGCACCCAGGTGATGGACTCTTGTCTTGCGTCTGCCTATGGGGGCTTTGTGACATATCTCTGCACTGATCACCCAGGTGATGTAACTGTTGTATAAGCTCTGCCTACAGGGGAATTGTGAGAGATCTGTCCACTGATCACCCAACTGATGTAACTATTGTCTAGGCTTTGCCTACAGTGGGCTTTGTGACATATCTTTACACGGATCACCCAGGTGATGTAACTCATCTAAGCTCTGCCTACAGGTGCCTATGACATATCTCTGCACTGATCACCTGGGTGATGTAACACTTTTATAATCTCTACCTACAGGGAATTTTGACAAATCTCTGCCCGGATCATCTAGGTGATGTAACTCTTGTCTACCCTCTGCCTACAGGGGGCATTGTGAAATATGTCTGCACTGATCACCCAGGTGAGGCAACTCTTGTCTAGGATTTGCCTACAGTGGGTATTGTGAAATATCTCTGCAATGATCACCTAGCTGATGTAACACTTGTCTACCCTCTGCCTACAGGAGGCATTGTGAAATATCTCTGCACTGATCACACAGGTGATGCAACTCTTGTCTAGGATCTGCCTACAGGGCAGATTAATGTCAACATTAGACAGATCAACAACACAGAAAGTTAACAAGGATACCCAGGAATTGAACTCAGCCATGCACCAAGCGAACCTAATAGACATCTACAGAACTCTCCACCCCAAATCAACAGAATATGCATTCTTTTCAGCACACCACACCTACTCCAAAATTGACCACATAGTTCAAAGTAAAGCACTCCTCAGCAAACGTAAAAGAACAGAAATTACAACAAACTGTCTCTCATAACACAGTGCAATCAAACTAGAACTTAGGATTAAGAAACTCACTGAAAACCACTCAACTCCATGGAAACTGAACAACCTGCTCCTGAATGACTACTGGGTAAATCATGAAATGAAGGCAGAGATAAAGATGTTCTTTGAAACCAATGAGAACAAAGACACAACATACCAGTATCTCTGGGACACATTCAAAGCAGTGTGTAGAGGGAAATTTATACCACTAAATGCCCACAAGAGAAAGCAGGAAAGATCTAAAATTGACACCCTAACATCACAATTAAAAGAGCTAGAAAAGCAAGAGCAAACACATTGAAAAGCTAGCAGAAGGCAAGGAATAACTAAGATCAGAGCAGAACTGAAGGGAATAGAGACATAAAAAACACTTCAAAAAATTAATGAATCCAGAGATTGGTTTTTTTGAAAAGATCAACAAAATTGATAGACTGCTACCAAGACTAACAAAAAAGAAAGAGAGAAGAATCAAATAGATGCAATAAAAAATGACAAAAAGGATATCACCACCGAGCCCACAGAAATACAAACTACCATCAGAAAATACTATAAACACCTCTACACAAATAAACTAGAAAATCTAGAAGAAATGGATAAATTCCTCGACACATACATCCTCCCAAGACAAAACCAGGAAGAAGAAGAATCTCTGAATAGACCAATAACAGGAGCTGAAATTGTGGCAATAATCAATAGCTTACCAACCAAAAAGAGTCCAGGACCAGATGGATTCACAGCCGAATTCTACCAGAGGTACATAGAGAAGGTGGTACCATTCCTTCTGAAATTATTCTAATCAACAGAAAAAAGAGGAAATCCTCCCTAACTCATGAGGCCAGCATCATCCTGATACCAAAGCCTGGCAGAGACACAATCTAAAAAGAGAATTTTAGACCAATATCCTTGATGAACATTGATGCAAAAATCCTCATTAAAAATTCTGGTAAACCCAATCCAGCAGAACATCAAAAAGCTTATCCACCATGATCAAGTGGGCTTCATCCCTGGGATGCAAGGCTGGTTCAACATACACAAATCAATAAACGTAATCCAGCATATAAACAGAACCAATGACAAAAACCACATGATTATCTCAATAGATGCAGAAAAGACCTTTGACGAAATTCAACAACACTTCATGCTAAAAACTCTCAATAAATTAGGTATTGATGTGACCTATCTCAAAATAATAAGAGCTATCTATGACAAACCCACAGCCAATATCATACTAAATGGGAAAAAACTGGAAGCATTCCCTTTGAAAATGGGCACAAGACAGGGTTGCCCTCTCTCACCACTCCTATTCAACATAGTGTTGGAAGTTCTGGCCAGGGCAATTAGGCAGGAGAAGGAAGTAAAGAGTATTCAATTAGGAAAAGAGGAAGTCAAATTGTCCCTGTTTGCAGATGACATGATTGTATATCTAGAAAACCCCACTGTCTCAGCCCAATATCTTCTCAAGCTGATAAGCAACTTCAGCTAAGTCTCAGGATACAAAATCAATGTGCAAAAATCACAAGCATTCTTATACACCAATAACAGACAAACAGAGAGCCAAATCATGAGTGAACTCTCATTCACAATTCCTTCAAAGAGAGTAAAATACCTAGAAATCCAACTTACAAGGGATGTGAAGGACTTCTTCAAGGAGAACTACAAACCACTGCTCAATGAAATACAAGAGGATACAAACAAATGGAATAACATTCCATGCTCATGGGTAGGAAGAACCAATATTGTGAAAATGGCCAAACTGCCCAAGGTAATTTATAGATTCAATGCCATCCCCATCAAGCTACCAATGACTTTCTTCACAGAATTGGAAAAAACTACTTTCAAGTTCATATGGAACCAAAAAATAGCCTTCATCTCCAAGTCAATCCTAAGCCAAAAGAACAAAGCTGGAGGCATCACACTACCTGACTTCAAACTATACTGCAAGGCTACAGTAACCAAAACAGCATGGTGCTGGTACCAAATCAGAGATATAGACCAATGGAACAAAACACAGCCCTCAGAAATAATGCCACATATCTACAACTATCTGATCTTTGACAAACCTGAGAAAAACAAGCAATGGGGAAAGGATTCCCTATTTAATAAATGGTGCTGGGAAAACTGGCTAGCCATATGGAGAAAGCTGAAACTGGATCCCTTCCTTACACCTTTTACAAAAATTAATTCAAGATGGATTAAAGACTTAAATGTTAGACCTAAAACCATAAAAAACACAGAAAAAAAACCTAGGCAATACCATTCAGGACATAGGCTTGGGCAAGGACCTCATGTCTAAGACACCAAAAGCAATGGCAGCAAAAGACAAAATTGACAAATGGGATCTAATTAAACTAAAGAGCTTCTGCACAGCAAAAGAAACTACCATCAGAGTGAACAGGCAACCAACAGAATGGGAGAAAATTTTTGCAACCTACTCATCTAACAAAGGGCAAATATCCAGAATCTATAATGAACTCAAAAAAATTTACAAGAAAAAAACAAACAACCAACACCATCAAAAAGTGGGCCAAGGATATGAACAGACACTTCTCAAAAGACGACATTTATGCAGCCAAAACCCACATGAAAAAATGCTCATCATCACTGGCCATCAGACAATTGCAAATCAAAACCACAGTGAGACACCATCTCACACCATTTACAATGGCGTTCATTAAAAAGTCAGGAAACAACAGGTGCTGGGGAGGATGTAGAGAAATAGGAACACTTTTACACTGTTGGGACTGTAAACTACTTCAACCATTGTGGAAGTCACTGTGGCGATTCCTTAGGGATCTAGAACTAGAAATACCATTTGACCCAGCCATCCCATTACTAGGTATGTACCCAAGGGATTATAAATCATACTGCTATAAAGACACATACACACATATGTTTATTGCTGCACTATTCACAATAGCAAAGACTTGGAACCAACCTATACGTCCAACGACGATAGACTGGATTAAGAAAATGTGGCACAAATACACCATGGAATACTATGTGGCGATAAAAAAGGATGCGTTCCTGTCCTTTGTAGGGACATGGATGAAGATGGAAACCCTCATTCTCAGCAAACTATCGCAAGGACAAAAAAACAAACACTGCATGTTCTCACTCATAGGTGGGAATTGAACAATGAGAAACATGGACACAGGAAGGGGAACATCACACACCGGAGACTGTTGTGGGGTGGGGGGAGAGGGGAGGGATAGCATTAGGAGATATGCCTAATGCTAAATGACGAGTTAATGGGAGCAACACACCAACATGGCACATGTATACATATGTAACAAACCTTCACGTTGTACACATGTACCCTAAAACTTAAAGTATAATAATAATAAAAATAAAAAAAAAGAAACTGTGTGAACAAGGAATTCTTTGTCACATCTGTGCTTTGGTCAGTAATAGACCAGCAAGCAATTCATCCAGTCATCGTGGGCGTGGCTCCAGGAGGACTTCCTGCGTCCATGGAAGGGATCATCCCTGGAGGCATCCCAGTGACTCACAACCTCCCGACAGTGGCACATACTTCCCAAGCGCCCTCTCCCAACCAGCCCACAATCACGGGGACAATCGAGAGCAACCCAACGAGAAATAGTAGTGAATGCCGGAAGGTAATCATTTTGATACACTTGGGAACAAGGACAGTGAAAAATAGATGAACTAAGAGAAAAAGAATCTGACGCTCTTTTTAGCTGATTCTGGACATATGCATTATTGATGTTGCAGTGTTAAAACTACAAGCGTTAGAAAGTTGAAGATGTTGTCTGTTTACGGAAGCTCTGAAAGACTAGGGTGTGATTTATTAACGACCAGCTTCCGTTATTGTGTGTTAAGTTTTTCATCTGTGCGTCAAATCACAAAGAATAAATAGAACTTTTTCCTTTATCAGTCCCTTGGGCACAGCAGGTCAGGAACACCCTGCTCAGAATGTTGCATCAGGACTTCAAACATCAAAATAAAAACCATGAGGAGGAAATCCCCATCTTGTCACTTGAGTCCCTTCAGTCTACAGGGACTGGTTACAGCTTTTTGCTAATAGGAAGATCACATTATTAGAAAATGTGGAGTAAACTATTTGCCTGTGGTAGACACCTGCACGCATAGGATTGAAGACAGTACCGGCTCCTGTACAGAGAAGCGTCTCTCACATCTGAACTGCATGCTGAGTGGGCAAGTTGGTTGTAAGTTCAGAAAAAGCCTCCGATAATGCAAAAAAAAAAAAAACAGTATTAAGTTTCACAAGCTGTTTGTAATCAAAAATATTTTCTCAGTTTCAGATGCTCTGCTATTTTATTGAGTGGAAAGTCTTGCACTAAAAAGACTCAAGAAAAATAATGTTGCTTTTTCTGTCACAAGAAACACTTTTAGTGGTAACTTGTCAGATTGTCTATGAACAAATCCACTTTTTAAGACACTGATAAAGTCTTCTTTTCTTCACGTTGTATTTTATACAAGAACACTTCAGATGTATTGGATGTGACTGATTTTAACAAATCCTATTTGATTTGCATCGATTAGTTACATGTTCTGTTCATAGTCTTTTGTGAATCATTGCCTTTTTGTTTAAAAAATGGCCTATTTTGATCGTTTGGTTAGGTACCTTCCTGTTTTTGTGACAAAAGAAAAACTTTAAAATTGTCACAAACAGAAAAATAATGGCTATCAGAAGTATCCTTTGTTTTAGTGCGAGTTAACGTTACTGTAGTTGTTTATTGTAAAGATGGACATTTAGCATTCAGTGCAGTTTTCAATAAAATGTAATTAGAAAAAAACTACGTAATTAACAAAAACAGAGCATAGACAACAAAATAATATTAGAAGTGATACATAAAGAAAATGAGATATCAATAAAAAGATTTTTAAAAACCAACAAAAACTGTGAATCTGAACAACACAATAACTAGTTGATGATACTGTAGTTATAAATACTGAGTCATGAAAACAAATTATTTAAACAGAATAGAGAAAAAAATATGGGACGTACTGCACACCATCAAGTAGACCATTGTATTTATAAATGGAGTCTTAGAAAAAAAATACAGCAGAAAAGTAATAAAGAGATTATTTTTAAAAAGTAGCTGAGAAATCCCCAGATGACAAGGTAATTAAACAAGAAGATATACTGCCAAACAAAAACCTTCAACTGGAATAATTTCACTTCAGAAATAAAAAAAAAAAAATAAGCCTTTCCAGAATAAATAAAAGTTGAGTGTGTTACTAACCACTAGATCAGTCGTAAAGGAAATGTAAAAGAAAGTCTATCAAGTACAAAAATGAAATGATGCTGCACAGCATCATAACAGCATATGAAAATAGAAAGTGCTATATTAAAGGTAAATATATAAACAGGTATAGAAATCTCTATTGTCATAATGATGGTGCACAAAATTTTCAAAATATTGCTATGGAGTTTAAAAAATGAAGCATAAATCTGCATAAATGTGTGTTCATAGTTACTCAATAAGAAAAGATAATATGTGATATTAATAACACAGTGGGGGTATGAAAAGGTACAACTTTGCATTCAGTTGAAATATGGTTGTTATATATTATCATAACTGTAAGATGATTTATGAAGTCTTTATTTCTCAAGATGATTACCAAAAATACCTGTAGACCTCTGGTCGTCCTCCCACTGCTACATTCCCACTAGCGCCACCACAGTTTACAGATGCCATGGCAATATCAGAAATTTACCCTACATGGTCTTAAAAAAAAAAAGGAGGCATAAATAATCCACCCCTTGTTTAACATATTATCTAGAAATAACCATAAGAATGGGTAACCAGCAGCCCTCGGGCTGCTCTGTCTATAGAGTAGCCATTCTTTTATTCTTCTACTTTCTTAATAAACTTGCTATCACTTTACTCTATGGACTCGCCCTGAATTCTTTCTTGCACCAGATCCAATAACCCTCTCTTGGAGTCTAGATCAGGACACCTTTCCTATAACAGAAGGATGGGAAACAACTGGAACCTTCATCAACAGCTGGCAGATTGTAAACTGATACAGCCACTGCAAAATTTTTAGCAGTATCTCCTAAAACTGTACACATGCTCTATAAAGCACTTGCACTCCCAGACAGAGATCAAATTAAAGTACACAGGTGTGCACCAAAAGGTAAGGACAAGAAAGTTCAGGGCCGGGAACAGTGGCTCATGCCTGCAATTCCAGCACTTTGGGAGGCCGAGGCAGGCAGATCACCTGAGGTCAGGAGTTCGAGACCAGCCCGACCAACATGGTAAAACCCCGTCTCTACTAAAAAAAAATTAGCCAGGCGTGGTGGTGGGCACCTGTAATCCCAGCTTCTTGGGAGGCCGAGGCAGGGAGAATTGCTTGAACCCAGGAGGTGGAGGTTGCAGTGAGCTGAGATTGTGCCATTGCACTCCAGCCTGGGTGACAAGAGCAAGACTCCATCTCCAAAAAGAAAGAAAGAAAGAAAGAAAGAAAGAAAGAAAGAAAGAAAGAAAGAAAGAAAGAAAGGAAAGAAAAGAAAGAAAAGAAAGAAAGAAAAGAAAGAAAGAAAGAAAGAAAAGAAAGAAAGAAGGAAAGAAGGAAAGAAGGAAAGAAGGAAAGAAGGAAGGAAAGAAAGAAAGAAAGAAAGAAAGAAAGAAAGAAAGAAAGAAAGAAAGAAAGAAAGAAAGAAAGTTAGTTAATAATGGCATTACTCATAATGGACCCAAGCTTGGAAGAACCTGAATGTCAGCCAACAGCAGAACAGATAAACATATTGTGCAATATTAGTAAAGCTGAATGCACACAACAATAAACAAACCACTGCCATGTGCAACACCATGGATAGAGCTCACAAGCCTAAAGCTGAGAAAAGCAGCCAAAAGAAAAGATCCCATTTATAAAGCGAATAATAGGAAAACTAATCTATAGTGTAAAAAGTCAGAATAGGAGATACTTTTTGCTTGAGCCCAGTAGATTGAGCTGGGTGTGGCATGTGTGCCTCCTGTCCCAGCTACTCAGGAGGTTAAGGTGGGAGGATCGCTTGAGCCAGGGAGATTGAGGCTGCAGTGAGCCATGATCATGCCACTGCACTCCAGCTGGGGTGACAGAGCAAGACTCTGTCTCAAAAGACAAGATGGTCATTTTAGGCCAGGCGCGGTGGCTCATGCCTGTAATCCCAGCACTTTGGGAGGCCAAGGCAGGCAGATCACCCTGTCTTGGGAGGAGGTAAGAGCAGCAACTAAAAGAAAACAGAAGAGAGACTTCTGGGTTGCTGGTCATATCCATTTCTTAGGTGTTAACTATGTGAAAATTTTGAGTTGTACGTTCATGATCTCCTTACCTGTATGCCTCTCATACCACAATAAAAAAAATTAAGTACGAGACTAACATAATAGAGCTTGAAATGTGCAGAAATTGAGGGAGCTCGCCCAAGGAAATCATTACTAAACAGATACTAAAAGATTTCAGACAGGAGGAAAATGATCCCAAGTGGAAGATCTGGGATATAAGAAGAAATGAAGAGCAGGAAAAAGACAGGTGAATATATGGATAAAACTAAACAAATGTGAAATGTATAAAACAATAGAAGTAATGTCCCATGAAATATAAAAAGAAAAATGATAAAATATATCAAAACAACTTTGATGGGTCACAAGATAATTATGCTGAATAAAAAAACTCAATCTCAAAATATTAGACATTGTATGGATTCATTTACATGTGTTCTTGAAATAAAGTTACAGAGATGAAAAACCCATTAGTGGTTGCCAGGGGTCAGGGAGTGAGGAACGTGTTTGTGACTATAAAATGGGTAGCACAAGGGATCCATCCTTCTGATGGAACTCTTCTATATCTTGACGATGGTGATGGTGATTAGGTATCTAATCTATGTACACGATAAAATTTCATAGCACTAAATACACAAAAAAACCTAAAAGTGCACATAAAACTGGTGAAATCTGAACAAGGTAGTTATGCAAGACGTTACCATTGGGAGAAACTGAGTGAAGACTATATTGGATTTCTTTATATTATTTCTTAAAAGCACCTGTGAATCTGCAATTATGTCAAAACAAAAAGTTGAAAATATACTGTTGTAGCATAACTCAAGAGGAGTTTAATGCAATGAAAGTATTCTTAAGTTATCCTATCACCCAGGAGGAGGATAAATTTTCAACTTTCATAACTTAAATATGCACATTTAAATTAGCATGACAGTTACTAAAAGAATATAAACAAAGACTAACTTAAAATGACTAGAGAAGAAAAAAATCCCACCAATTGAAAAGAAGGCAAGAAAGGAAAAAAGAAACATAAGTAGGATAAATAGAAAGTGACAAAATGACACAAACACACATGCATGTACATACACACCACTCACCATCTATACAGAATCCAAGTATGTCAGAATACAAATACATGCAAATGGACTAAGTAATCCAATTAAAGATGGATAAATTGTTAAAATCCCATTCCATGCTATTTATAAGTCATATTTAAAATACAAAGATATAGAATGATTTTAAAAGGTATTAAAATATGTATCAGAGGAGCTGGACTTGGCGGCACATGCCTGTAATCCCAGTGACTCAGGAAGCAGAGGTGAGAGGATCACTTGAGACCAAGAGCTCAAGACCAGCCTGGGCAATATAGCCAAATTCTATCTCTAAAGAAATAAAAACAATTATTTGGCAGTGGTGGCACACATCACTCTAAAGACTGAGGTAGGAGGATCATTTGAGCCCAGGAGTTTAAGGCAGCAGAGAGCCACAGTCACGCCTGTGAACAGCCCCTGCACTATAGCCTTGGCAGCACAGTGGAAAAAAAAATACACACACACACACACACACACGTGAAAGATACACAGTGCAAAGTTTAACCAAAGTTACCATAGCTATATCATACATAATGTTGAAAGCATACATAAATGAAGGAAAACATTTCATTTTGATAAAAGTTCAAATTAAAAAAAAGATGTATATTTTTTGAATCATATGCACCCAAGTACAGCCTCAAAAAGCAAAAGTTGACAGATGAGGAGACAGACAAATCCATGCTTCTAGTAGGATATTTAATATATCTCTCAGTAAATAAAGTATAAAAATAATTAGGGAGGATGAAGATTTAAAATTATGAAAAAATAGACTAAATGCACACATACAGAACATGAGATTTAACTGCAGAAATAGACTTCCCTTCAAGAAACTGTGGACACGTTCAAAAATTAACCATATAGACGAGTGTTAAAACAAGTAAAAAATTTCAAAGAAAGTGGAGAGATCATAATTTCTGGTAACAATTTTAGAAACTTTCTAAAAGTATACTTTTAAATAGCCCATAGCTTGAAGATAAAATAAGGCAAATTCATCATCAATTCTACATATTTAAAACTGTAGGATATAATTAAATCCATTCATAAGGGGAAAATGATAGTCTTTTTTTTTTTTTTTTTTGAGATGGGGTCTCACTCTGTCACCCCGGCTAGAGTGCAGTAGCACAATCTTGGCTTACTACCCTCCACCTCCTGGGCTCAAGTGAGCCTCCCACCTCAGCCTCCTGAGTAGCTGGGACCACAGGCTCACACCACTACACCTGGCTAATTTTTTGTGTGTTTGGTAGAGATAAAGTTTCACCATGTTGTCCAGGCTGGGGAAATTTATAGTCTTAAATGAGAACATTAGAAAAGGAACTTGGGAAAAACATCAACAGACCGGGCACAGTGGCTCAAGCATGTAATCCCAGCACTTTGGGAGGCCGAGGCAGGTGGATCATGAGGTCAAGTGATCGAGACAATCCTGCCCAACATGGTAAAACCCCATCTCTACTAAAAATACAAAAATTAGCTGGGTGTGGTGGCACACACCTGTAGTCCCAGCTACTCGGGAGGCTGAGGCAGGAGAATTGCTTGAGCCGAGATTGTGCCACTGCACTCCAGCCTGGTGAAAGAGTGAGACTACGTCTCAAAAAAAAAAAAAAAAAAAAAAAAAACCTGAGCATCAGTCAACAAATCAGACAAAGAACAAGTTAAATTCAAAGAAAGAAAAAGGAAAAACATAACAAACAAATGAAATACAAAAGAAACACACAATAGAATCAGCCAAGCTAAAACTTGTGGTTCTTTTGGTTTTCAGATAGGGTCTCATTCTGTTGCCCAGGCTGGAGTGTAGTGGCTTAATCACAGCTTAGTACAGCCTCCCCCTTACAGGCTCAAGCGATCTTCCCACCTTTTCCTCTCAAAGTGCTGGGATTACAGGTATGAGCCACCATGCCCTGCTAAAATCTGGTTCTTTAAAAATACATTATAAAATTCACAGACCTTTAGCAAGATTTGTCAAGAAAAAGCAGTCAAACAACAATCTTGCACAGGAGGACTGTACTACAGATAGAAAGACTCTGAAAGGAAGTCATAACTTGCAGGCCAAGAACGATGGCTCACACCTGTAATCCCAGCACTTTGGGAGACTGAAGTGGGAGGAATGCTCAAGTTCAGGAGTTTGAGACCAGGCTGGGCAACATGGCAAAACCCCGTCTCTACCAAAAATACAAAAATTAGCTGGGCATGGTGGCACGTGCCTGTGGTCCCAGCTACTTGGGAGGCTGAAGAGAGATGGTGGCTTGAGCCTGGGAGGTGGAGGCTGCACTGAGCCATTATTGAACCACTGTACTCCAGCCTGGGCAACAGAGTGAGACCCTGTCTCAAATAAACAATTTCATAATGTAAAATTATGAATACCTTTATGCCAACAGACTTTAAAGCATAGATGAAAAATCTTTTTTTTTTTTTTAGACAACGTCTCATTCTGTCACCCAGGCTGGAGTGCAGTGGCACAATCACAGCTCACTGCAGTCTCGACCTTCCAGGCTCAAATGATCCTCCCACCTCAGCATCCCAAGTAGCTCACACTACAGGCACCCGCCACCACACCAAGCTAATTTTTATTTTTTTTGTAGAGATGGAGTCTCACTATATTGCCCAGGCTGGTCTTGAACTACTGTAGTCAAGTGGTCCTCCCACCTGAGCCTCCCAAAGTGCTGGGATTACAAGCATAAGCCACCATACTTGGTGAGATATGAATTTCTAGGGAAAAAAATCAAAATTCACTCCAAAAGTAGAAAAAAAACTTACATAGATTAAATATATTGAATCAGTCATGAAAATCTTCCCATAAAGAAATTTGTAGGCCCAAGTGCCTTCACCAAAAAGTTCCATGAAACATACAAGAGAAACAAACCAACCAAACAAACAAAAAAAAACTCTTCCACTAACACAAACAGAGAATACAGAAAGAAGACTCCCCAGTTCATTTTACAAGGTTAAAATAAAAATAACCTTGATATCAAAACCCAATAAGGCAAGGGCAAGAAAAAATATTTGCAGGCCATCATTATTCAACGTGGATCAGAAATTATTTTTAAGATGTACTAGCCAGGTGTGGTGGTCATACCTATAATCCTAGTAGTTTGGGAGGCCCGAGTGAGAGGATGGCCTGAGCTCAGGAGTTTGAGACCAGCCTGGGCAACAAGGCAAAATCCCGTCTTTATAAAAAATACAAAAATTAGCTGGGCATGGCAGCACACCTATAGACCCAGCTATTCGGGAGGCTGAGGTGGGAGGATCACTTGAGCCTAGCAGGTTGAGAATGCAGTGATCCCTGATCATGCCACTGTGCTCCAGCCTGGGCAACAGAGTGAGACCCTGTCTCAAAACAACAACAGAAAGATATACTGACCACCTGTGATGCTGGCCAGGATGGCGTATGCATGCTATGGCCTGTCATTTCCACTGATCACAATTTGAAACTCTGGACAAAATATAAATAGCAATGACCTAAGAACTCTGAAAAGTAACCAGCAGACAGGTTGGGAAACGTCAAAACCTGAAGAATTATCTGGATGGCGGTGGTGAGAGATCATATTCTGAGTCATAAAACAAACCCTGAAGTTAAACAATTAAAATTCAGTGAATTATTTTCTCTGATGACAGAATTAAACTAGGAATCTAGAACATTTCTAGAACATTCCCAAATATGAGAAGTTAAATGGTGTACTTCTAAATGGCCCATAGGTCAAAGAGAGTATCTTAAGACAAATTGGAAAACAGTTTGAACTTAATAAATATGACATCATCTTATCAAAATATGTGCTTACAGGGCAATTTATAGCACTAAATTATGAGAAATGAAGCATCAAATCAATAATGTAAGCATTTACTTTAAGTAAAAAAAGAACCAAATAAACTCAAATCAGGCATAAGAAAAACAGACTAAATCAGTAATATTTAAACAAAAACAGTAAAGGAAAAAAATTCAACGAAATCCAAAGTTGGTTCTTTGCAGGGGTGGTGGGAGGTGGAAATCAATCAAATGAGGAAGCCTCTAGCAGACTGACAAAGGAAGAAGAGAAAACACAAATTGCCAATACCAGAAATGAAAGGAATATTATTACAAATCCTGTAGACACTAGAAGGCTATAATGGATACTACAAAAACAAAACAAACAACTATATGCTTCTAAATTCTACAAATTAGGTGAAATAGATCAATTCCTTGAAAGACAGACTACCAAAACTCAAGAAGAAACAGACAGCTTGAATACCCCTGTATTTATTAAAGAAACAGAAGTGGCACAGCACTTTGGAAGACAATTTGGCAGGTTCTGATAAAGTCAAACGTACACGGACCATGTGACTCGGCAATCCTACCCTTAGGCATTTGCACAAGTGAAATGAAAACCTATGCTCAGACAAAAAGCACTTTGTGAATTCCAATCCACTTATAATTTACCAAAAAGTGAAAATAGTCCATATTCCTCCAATGACAAACCAATAAGCAAACCATGTAGTATTTATACAATGGATTACTATTTGGCAATAAAAAGGAATAACTGTTGATGCAGTACATGAAAGTAGCCAGACTCAAAAGGCTACATCCTGAACGATTCCATTTGTATAAAATTCTGAAAAAAAAGCAATGCTAGAGGAACACAGATCAGTGATTGCCAGAAGTTTACAATGGAAGGTTTTACTATAAAGGGCAAGGTAATTTTTGGAGTGATCATATAATTTTGTAATCTACCAAAAACAAACATAATAAATGGGCAGATAAGTAAAGTTCACGGATTGGAAAGTTCAATATTGCAAAGGTCTCCCAAAAATGACCTATCAATTTAATCCCAGTGGAAATTCCAATCAGTTTTGTGAAGGCTGCTAAGTCAACTCTAAAATGGCCAAGAATAGACAAGATCACCGGAGAGGAAACAGGGAGGTGGACACAAATATCTTCTGATTGATGAGTGAAATCATTAGAAGGCCAGCAAAAATACAAGTAAGCCAGAATTTCTAAAGCACCACAAAAGAACACTAGTTAGTAGTGCATCTAGGTATCTCTCAAATTTGTTGTAAACATAGGCCTTTAAAAAAACATTAGAAACTGATATTTAAAGAGATATAAACTCATATTAAGCTTTTAAAAAATTCTAAGCAAGGGCCTCACCTAATTTCATAAAAGGTTGCATAGAAGCAACCATTGCTGCAAACGATGTGCTGCCCTGAGATGTGAGGATCCCAGTGGTCCCTCTGGGTCAACAGCAGCTACCGCGGCTGAGCCCAAACTCTGACACATTATCTATCTACAATCATTATTTTTAACAATTTATATCAATGCTACCCATAAGGCACAGAGAAGCAGAAATGTTTATGTGGCCTCCTGCCAAAAACAATCACTTGCACTTATTTCTAGGACTACTCCAGAAGACAGTATTAGAAGTTTTTCAATTTAGAAAAACATTTACAGCAAAGAAAAAAATCTCTGTAAATTTCCTGCTTAACCAATCTAGTGAATTGTGATGAGCCATATAAATTCATTTAGCCACCTTATGAAAGACTTAATCCAAAGTCACTTCTAACTTCTAGAAGAGCTAATGCATTATAATAACAGTTGTGAAAGACTCAAAGGCCAGAAATGTCAAGGTGTGGTCTATATCTTAAATCCAGAAAAAAAACAAAAAGCAAGATGTACAGGCCAAATGATTGCCAATTTCTTCTGCCTATGTCATCTTTCTTCACTATAACCTGAAATTACATTTCATGTTTGACAATTCTCAGCAAGGAGACAAAACAAGCTTATGAGTAAAATAATAGAAAGCAGAGCCACAGAGAGTACGAGAGGCAGGAGTCATCTCCCAAGTCCAAGTTCAACTTCTATATTATTAGACAGGGCCTCAGTGTCTTTGAACTGTAAGGAATTAATATTGATTGTAGCATGAGTAAAACCTATCTTCTACTCATCATGAAAAGTCACAGTCGTTTTGTTTAAAGACTCCAGAATTATTATGGGCAGAAACAAGAAGGTTACACACTTATTTGGTGAAATGAGGAATCAGGAATGAGCATTCCCAAGAGAATACAATTACAAAAGTAAAATATCCTAGAGTTTTTGGGCTGCTTAAAAAACCCAGAAAGAAGTGCCAAATGAGAAAATAATCAAATTCAGTGGAAAAACTCACTTGAAGGTATCATGGTCAGCTGGGTTTCCACCCCTTTGTTGCACTTCAAATCCTGTGTCTTCCACAAAGACTTGCTCCTTTCTAAAGGCTATGGTTCACGTTCAACAGAATAGCAGCAACCACCATGAGCCTGAGGGCTGGCTAGTCTTTAGTATTCTGCCTTATTCAAAGAAACGATCATTTCCCTCATTCCTAAAGAACTCCCATGTCCATTACAAAAAAAGGAGCAGCAGCCAGGGGCAGTGGCTCACACCTGTAATCCCAGTATTTTGAGAGGGCAAGGGGGGAGGAACACCTGAGGTCGAGAGTTCAAGACCAGCCTGGCAAGCATGGTGAAACCCCGACTCTACTAAAAATACAAAAATCAGCCGGGTTTCGTGGTGTGTGCCTGTAATCCCAGCTACTAGGGAGGCTGAGGCAGGAGAATTGCTTGAACCCAGGAAGTGGAGGTTGCAGTGAGCCAAGATCATGCCACTGCATTCCAGCCTGTGGGACAGAGCAAGACCCTGTCTCAAAAGAAAAAAAAAATTCTTACCTCCTGGAAGTATTTTACTAGTGTTGGTTTCTATTTGACACTAAACACTTCCCCAGGCCAGTGCATTAGCAGTTAGCTCCTTACTGAATATTATCTGCAGCAAACAGTAGCTGACTCCTAGCTCTCTTCAGTGAACTTGAATTGAAATTTATAGAATTCTCATGACTTCTATTTCATCTTGAAACCCAGAGACTCCTTCCCTTTCCTAGTGATTTACCTTTCAATTATAGGCAGACTGAACCAGTCCCAGCTGTCTTTAGTTGGTCTCTATTCAAACACTGTACTTTTGTTTCTTGATTACATCTTCAATTATTTTAGTTATTTCTGAGATTCTCCCCTGTAATTTCTCCAACTATCTAGGGCATAAAGAGTGCATGAATAACATTATGAAGGCTGTGAGACTTCAAATAAATGAGTAGCCTTTCTGAGCCTCAGTTTTCTCCTCTGTAAACCAGGAATAATTTTTACTGAACAAAGTTGTTCTAAGGATTAGTGAAATGTATGTGCAGCCTTTAGCTTAATAGGTGATCAAATGGTAAATGGTGTTTATAAAATGTCTTTATCATAGTAAAGTATATATATATATATATATATATATATATATTTTTTTTTTTGAGATGGAGGCTTGCTCTGTCACCAGACTGGAGTGCAGTAGTGGCGCGATCTCGGCTCACTGCAAACTCTGCCTCCCAGGTTCAAGGATTCTCCTGCCTCAGCCTCCCAAAGTGCTGGGATTACAGGTGTGAGCCACCGTGCCCAGCCCGATTTTAACCAGTCTTAAGTGTGCAGTTATTGGCATTAAGTGCATTCATGTTGTTGTACAACCATCACCACCATCCATCTCCAGAACATTTTCATCATCCCGAGTGAAACTCTGTACCCAGTAAGCAATAAGCCCTCATGCCTCTCTACCCCAGCCTCTGGCAACCACCAAACTACCTTTTTTTTTTTCTTTTTTCTGACAGGGTCTCTCTGTCGCCCAGGTTGGAGTACAGTGGCATGATCATAGTTCACTGAAAGCTTGAACTCCCAGATTCGAGTGATCCAACCCACCTCAGCCTCCCCAGTAGTTGGGACTACAGGTATGTTCCACCACACCTGACTTTTCTTTTTAAAGTAGAGATGAGGTCTCCCTATGTTGTCTAGCCTGGTCTTGAACTCTTGGGCTGAAGTGATCCTCCTGCCTTATCCTTCCAAGATGTTGGGATTACAGGAATGAGCCACTGAGCCTGACTATCCTACTTTGTTTCTATGAATTTTACTGATCTAGATATCTCATATAAGTGGAATCATATATAAGGGAGGAAAAATATTTTTCCTCCACCCTTCTAATTTCTTGGCTGGGGATCTTTTAACAAAAGACAGATTAACAAGAGAAAAGCATACACATTTACTTAACATAAGTTTTATATGACACAGAAAAAATTGACTTTTCTGGAAGTAACTTGATATAACTAGGAGCCTTTGTAAGGAAATAAAGACCTGAAGAAACAGTTAAACATATGTCTTTGTATATTAGGTTTGTCAAAAGACTAAATTACAACAAATTAGGTTTTATATTATCAGAGGACTACAACAAATTTATAGATTTAATTGGCTTTTATTCATGATTCATGAATCTGGGCACCTTCCACTCTACAAAACAGAATGAGAGTTCCCACTGGGCAATAGCAGAACCACAGGTTTTATGAGGTAGCAACAAGGAAACAGAATAGAAAAACCTGATTGGTTAACATCAAGCTACTTCAGTTACTTTTTTTAATGGTTAAAGCAGAGGGCACTTCCTTCTTCCACTGATTTAAGTAGACTGGAATCTCATGTTTTCAGGAAAAACTGGTCTGTTTGGGGATCTGCTTCCTTAAAGTTTCAGTTTGATGACACAGCATTTAGCATAAGTAATTCCATTTTGGTTTGGTCTGATCTGTTGAAGGCTAGTGCAGGGGCTCAGCCCAAAAGAATGACCTCCCATAATTTTTAACAGTTTGATAAAGAGTGGAGAGAAGCAGAAAATTGCGAGAGGACAAAAAGGGTTAGGAGCTAAGTGTAGTAAACTGGGAGGAACAGCAGGAACTATCATTCAGATTCCTCTCAGCGTTATCTTAAGAGACAAAGATGCTCCTTCCTCCAGGGACAGGGACGGCACCTCTCACCCAAGGGCCTTGTGACCTGCATCAGAGAAGAGGGTGAGAAGGTCAGAGTGTCCTTCCTATCATTTCTGAGTTTCCTTCAGCTTCAAACATTCAATATGCTAAGGTGGCTATTTTGGAGATTATCAAGAAGCTGATCACATAAAATACTTGTTCTTTGGTGACTGGTTTATTTCATGTGGCATAATGTCTTCCATGTTCATCCATGGTGTAGCATGTGTCAGAATTGCCTTTCTCTGTAAGCCTGAATAGTATTCTACTGCATATAGTGTATATATACCATATTTTTTTATTCATTTGCAGATAGACTCTTGGCTTGCTTCCACCTTTTGGCTATTATGGATAATGCAATGGTATATTTTAACTACAGATCTTTTTACACCAAATAGACATAAACAATCAAAAGAATTTATCCTAGGCCCACAGAGAAGGCAGATGGGGTCCTTGATCAATTACAGGGGTTCTCTTTTTAAAATGACTTCTTCATAAACCTATGTGAGGGGAATACTGACAGTACCTACTTTTTATAGATGGAAATTCTATTTAAGAGCTCTCATGTCTGGGTGTGGTGGCTCATGCCTGTAATCCCAGCACTTTGGGAGGCCAAGGCAGGCAGATCACAAGGTCAAGAGATCGAGACCATCCTGGCCAACATGGTAAAACCCATCTCTACCAAAAATGCAAAAATTAGCTGGGCATGGTGGCATGCACCTGTAGTCCCAGCTACTTGGGAGGCTGAGGCAGGAGAATAACTTGAAGCCAGGAGGCAGAGGTTGCAGTGAGCTGAGATTGCACCACTACTGCACTCTAGCCTGGTGACAGAGCAAGACTCCGTCTAAAAAGAAAAAAAAATTCTCATTACTTTCTCATATTACACAGAGGAGCTAAATATGACAATTAACTGAAGAAAGACAAACTGCTAATCTCAAGCAGTTATTACAAACTGTCAAGTTAATATAGACAGCAATCTGCAGTTTAAAAATGCCAATCACTACAAATCACAGGGAAAACATCTGTGCTTCAGTGGAAACACTACATTGTTTAGATCACACTCCTTCAGACTTTTGAGATAGGATCTCCCTCCATCACCCAGACTGGAATGCAAGGGTATGATCCTGGCTCACAGCAACCTCCACTTCCCTGGCTCAAGGGATTCTCCCACCTCAGCCTCCTGAGTAGCTGGGACTACAGGCTCATGCCATCATGCTCAGCTAATTTTTGGAAACTTTTTTTGTAGAGAGAGGGTCTATGTTGCTCAGGCTGGTCTTGAACTCCTGGGGTCAAGAGATCTGTCTACCTCAACCTCCCAAAGTGCTGGGATAACAGGAGTGAGCCACTGCACCCAGCGCCTTTAAGGTTTTCTAGTCTAGCCTTTCACCTGTTTTATGGTATGTGAAGTTGAAAAGAACTGATAATGCAAATGATTCTTGTTTATAAATATGCAAATCAACCTGCCTTGGAAAGCCAATCCTTCTCCATGTGGCAAAGCCACTTATGCATCAATTTCCAGTTTATTTCAATATTCTGAGTAATAGATGTGTCCGTCCCTTTGGGTTCCCTTTTGAACTGGTTGTAACATCTCACTGCTCACTTCATTAATAAAATATTTAACATTTATATCTATATGAGTGATAGTTTTTCCTGTTTTTGAAAAGTTACCCTTTAACAAATATAACATGCACAGGTGAGTTAATGCCATGCTTCTCAAAGTATGGCCTGTGGAAGGAGCAGCCTGGCGCTCCCTCACAGTATTTTTGACAGAAATGCATTCCACTGGGCCCCACCTCAGGAGTGTGGAGTTGTAGCCGGATCCCTTTCACTGACACATTAAAGTTAGAGCCACCCTAGGTTAATACACATCACTGACCGGCCTCAAGGAATAGGAGTGCTGGGTCTATCAGTCTCTCCCAACCATTCCCTGGGCTTTGCCAAGTGCTTTCTGCCTGCCGAGCTCACTCTTGGATCAGATGGGGCCTCCCTGCCAGCAGTTCTACCTCATCCTCTCTGCACCTAAGTCAACTCCAGAGTTCACAGACCTCACTTCTGATCTCCACCACCCCTCCTCCCCTTCCACGGTGACTCAAACCTTCAGGCAGTGAAAATAAGGAGACTCACAAACTAGGAGACTACAGCTTCAGACCACACATTTTCCACTGAGCCAGTACCTGAGCAAAAACTAGTTTTCTGGAGTTGGGTGGATGAGAAGATTTGATATTGAAAGTGTCCTTGGTGGCATTTCAAAGCTCAACATCATCTAACAAAAATTTTATTCCTTTTTCATTTCTGTTAGGGAATGTTTAGTTTTTCCTCTTTGATAATGAAAATTTGGTTAACAAACATTGCTTTGGACCAATCTTCCTTTTCACAAATCACTGAGGTGTGTCTATCCACAAGTTCTCAGTTCAGCCTACATTTTCCAGTCTTCCATTTACCTATTCAACTAATACCTGAGTGCCTGGCATGTGTCGGCCCTGTGAACATGCTGGTGACAGTGTGAGCAGGCAGGGCTGGTTCCTGTCCTCATGAAGCTTATACTACCTGAGGCTGGGGTGTAGAAATCGACACATTAAAAAGGCTACTGAGACTTTAAAAAAAAATATATATATATATATATATGAGAGGCATACAAAGATGCTGAGCTGGAGCTTTGGAAAATGAAGAAAAAGTAATACAAATTTAAAATGTGACATCGAGGAATGAAGACCATCACTTAACATATCCTATGTTTAAAAAATCGAATGTCCATAGGAAGTTGTCTGGGAGGTGGGCAGGGTTTCATACTGTAATGAGTATTTAGAAAGCTTAGAAGAGTTCTAATGGTTCTTAATTTAAGAATTATAAGAGGTAGATTCAGGTAGAGAGAGATTCCCATGATATTCACTGCTGGGTGGAGAAGGAGATCCATCCCCCTCCACTCACAAACATCCTCTTTGTGTTTTTACTCGGCAGTCCTTCATTTAGCTGATCCATCTGTATTTATATTTGTTCTCTTCTGGATCTTGTTTCATAGTCAATATCAAGTGTTTTTGTGTAAACTGCCTGGTCTTGACAGACCAGGCACGAAGGTAGGCACCATTCACACAGCATTGCATTTAATCTTCACAAGACCCCTGCAAGGTGGGTCTCAGCCTCCCCTGATACAGGTGAAGCAGGAGGCTCAGGGCTGCTACAACTTGCCCCCAGTCCCAGAGCTGGTACACAGCAACCCAGATTGACGGATTCCTATACCCATCCATGCTGCCTAGCCTAAACATGTTGTTGGTGCCAAAATTGTTTAAATTAACCCGAGGTTATCTAAAATTAACTCAAAGTTAACATACGCTATTTGGAAGTAGTGGTGGCAATGACTTATCAGAGAACTTTTAAGGGAAACAGCTGTGGCAAACGAGCCTGACTCACACTGAAGTTATCTGTAATCAAGTTGCCAACTGACAACTGATTAGTGAATGAAGCTGAGCGCCAGGACTCACGACAGCTGTCTGTTTCATAAACACGCCCTCGTTCCTCCTTTTGGCCGACTACTAAAGGGTTTAGGTGTCACGCAGCATTTAGATGTTATGCAGAATGAGCAACAAGCAAAGTGTAGGTGCAATCAGATAAGAGCGGAGAATTACCAGTATCTTTACAATCACCTGTTGGTCATTTCTGTGGATAATCACCAATTCAGAACAGCAAGGACTGAGAAGCCACAAGGTTCCCTTAAAAGGCCTCATCCACTTGCATACTTCTGTTTTCAGGAAACAAAAATTACGTTATGTGGGCTCACAGTCAATAGATTTTTGTTCTGATTTGTATTTCCATGATACATAATTAAGTTTTGTGGTTTGAGGTTGAAAGAATTCTGAATATGTATGCTAACACTGATTCACATTAAAGCTAAGCACTAGGCTGGACGCGATGGCTTACGCGTGTAATCCCAACACTTTGGGAGGCCGAGACGGGCGGATCACTTGAGGTCAGGAGTTTGAGACCTGCCTGGCTAACATGGTGAAAGCCCGTCTCCACTAAAAACACAATTAGCTGGGCGTGGTGGTGGGCACCTGTAATCCCAGCTACTCGGGAGGCTGAGGCATGAGAGTTGCTTAAACCCAGGAGGTGGAGGTTGCAGTGAGCCAAGATTGGGCCACTGCACTCCAGCCTGGACAACACAGCTAACAAGACTGTCTCAAAAAATAAAATAAAAACAAAGCTAAGCACTATATATTAAGTAGATGATTGAATATTTTAACCAAAGGTGTAAATTATTAACCAGGATATTTAAAAAGCAATGAATTGAAGTTGCTGACATTTTTAAGAGAGCTGTTTCTTTCCCTAAAGTTTTAATATCAAACACACACACACACACACACACACACACACACACACACACAAGTATACTTGGGTGGTGCCAATAAAAAGGAAACAAAAATAAAATGGAGAAATGGAGATAATGATGAACCCAAGCTAAAGGAAGAGGAGGAGGGGGTAGATATATGTTATTTTCGTTCTTTCCTATTTCACTCTTCATTGGAAAAGCACTTGAGTTACAGTTTGTGATTCTGTTAGTCCTTCAGTATGGTAAAACAAACAGGTTTATCTCATGTGCAAATAATCAATGAGGAGTGGTTGCCTCCAAGAGCCTGGGTAATGTTGACCTTAGTGGGAAGGATCTGAATCAGCTGCCAGGGCCACACATGTGCTGTGTGTTTGTTGATCCCGCCTTATGTCAACCAGTCAACATCAAAAACGATCAGGGCATTGCTAGGCAACCGCTTCTTCAGTCTTCACTAGTCAATTATTGTGATTAGGATATTTTGTTTTCCTAAACGGAACTTGATAGATGGATAGAATGGATTCTACATCGCATTTTTTTCCCCTCTATCACGCACAGATGCCGTTGAGTATATCGTCTCCTCCTTCTGTGCAGGGAGCCCGCCCTATGTAAGGTTAACAGGAAGGACACAAAGGTATGCAGTGTAGAAAAAAATAGAAATAAGGACCCAGACATAACTCTGAAGGAGCTTCTAACCATGTTGTGCAGATGAGGAAGACTCAATAATTAGTAAGTTATCCAAAGAAATTAGGGCTTTTTACTAGCAGAACAGTAAAAATTCTAAGTTTGATAACACACTGAGTTGAGAAGGCTGTGGGAAAGAGGTATTCACTCACATTGCTGCTAGAAGTATAAACTGGTATAACCCGTCTAGAGGAGAGTGATTTAACAATTATCAAAACTAACCACCTAGTCCACATCTAGACATTTATTTTGCAGATATACTTGCCCAAATGCAAAATGTCAGATACACATTGTTTCTTGCAGCTTTGCTTATAATTGTAAAAATAGCTCTTCTAAGTTTCCTATTGCTGCTATAATCAGTTACCACAAATGTAGCAGCTTAAAACAACAGAAACTTATCTTATTATAAGCCTGGAGGTCAGAAGTCTGAAACGCGTCTTGCGGAGCTAAAATCAAAGGCTGGTTCCTTCTGGAGGCTCCAGGGGAGAGCCCGTTTCCATGCCTCTTCCTTCTGCTGACGGCTTTCCACATACCTTGGCTTTTGATCGTATATCACTGCAATCACCACTTCCATCTTCGTATCGCCTGAGTCTGACGCTTCTTCTTCCCGCTTATAAGGACGCTTGTGATTGATTCCATTGTGCCCACCTGGATGATACACGCTCCTCTGCCCATCTCACAATCCTTACTCCCAAGGCCCCTTTGGCTATGTAAAGTAATATATTCCTAGATTCAGGGATTTGAATGTGGACATCTTTTTTTTTTTGGAAAGACAGTCTCACTGTGTCACCCAGGCTGGAGTGCAGTGGTGCAATCTCTGTTCACTACAACCTCTGCCTCCCGGGTTCAAGTAATTCTCCTGCCTTAGCCTCACAAGTAGCTGGGACTACAGGCGCATGCCACCACACCCGGCTAATTTTTTGTGTTTTTAGTAGAGATGGCGTTTCACTGTGTTAGCCAGGATGGTCTCAATCTCCTAACCTCATGATCCGCCCACCTCAGCCTCCCAAAGTGCTGGGATTACAGGCTTGAGCCACCGCTCCCGGCCTGTGGACATCTTTTATTCAGCCTATCACAATAGCAAACGTCTGGAAACAAACTGGATGTCCATCAGCAGTGGAATGATTCAATACATTATGATAAATTCATACAACAGAATACAGTTGTTTAAAATATGAGAAAATGTATTATGTACTAAACAGAAAACTCACCAAAATATAATGTTAGGTGAAAAAAGCAAAGTACAGAACAGACACAGGAATGCAGTATACATAATTTGCTTGTATATATGAGGATTAAACTATCTCTGGAATGATATACCAGAAATTAATCATGGTGGTTACCTGTAGGACAGGAAGAGGGTGCTGGCATTGCAAGAATGAGACTTTTCACTAACACTCTTTCATAATTTTTTATCTTAGAAACTTGTAACTATATTACTTATCCAAAAAGTAAAATAATAAAGTCTAGAAAGAGTAAAAAGAAAACAAAGTGTAAAAAAAGTTATAGATGGGGGATAAGTTCCCATTGTAAGACTCTTTATGCTAGAGCTGTACAATTTTTAAAAATGAGAAGTATGTATATGTTACCAGGAATGCCAGGATATATGATCAAGTGACTGAAAACTATGAGCAAAATAAAAAACAGAAAAAAGAAACAAACCCACAAGTGCTTCAGGTATTAGAATTATCAGACATGAACTTTAAAGTCATTGGTAATATTATCAAACCTAGGTTTAAATAACTACTAGTTTTTTTTTATCTTGGTGCTAGTTACAGAGGTTTATTTACATTGTGATAATTCACCCACTTGTACCTTTAAGATGGCACACTTTCTCTCAGGTATATTATACTTCAATAATATTTTACAAAAGTAGAAAACTTGTGGGATGTGACTAAATCTGGGGTGGGGGGAATCTATAATCGTAAACACATGTATTTGAAAACAAAACAAAAAAAGTACTGAAAAACTGATATGATAGGTGTGGTGGCTCACATGTATAATCCCAACATTTTGGAAGGCCAAGGCAGGAGGTTTGCTTGAGGCCAGAACTTCAATACCAGCCCAGGCAACATAGTGAGACCTGTCACAGCAAAAAAAAAAAAAAAAAAAAAAAAAAAAAAAAAAAAAAAAAAAAAAAAAATTAATTGGGCATGGTGACACACACCTGTGGTCCCAGCTACTTGGAAGGCTGAGGAGGGAGGATTGGATCACTTGAGCTCAGTAATTTAAGGCTGCTATGAGCTATGATTCATCACTGCACTATAGCCTGAGTGACACAGTAAGACCCTGTCTCAAAAAAAAGAAAAAGAAAAAACTCCAATGATCTATGCATCCATCTCAAAAATCCCAGCAAATTAAGCTGAATGAAATTAAAATGATGGAAATAATAAGGATAAAAGCTGAAATCAATGAAAAAAAAAAAAACCAAAGACATAATAGAGAAAATATAAAAAGCCAAAGCTGTTTCTTTGAAAACAGTATTCCAGTTGCTAATCTCTGTGGCAGCCAGCCTCCAAAATGGCCCCCAGTGATTTTCACTTCCGCTATCCATGCCTTGTGCAGTTCTCTCTCATATTAAATATGGCTAACCTGTGTTATCAAAAAGCTAGTTCAAATTTCCTAGGCTAGATTATAAAACACATGGCAGCTTCCACCTTGTTCACCCTGGGTGAAAGTAGCTACCATACTGCAAGGACATTCAAGCAACCCTACAGAGCTTAATGCATTACATTACAGAGGTGTCCTGCTAACAGACAGCATTGACTTGCTAGCCATGTTAAGTGAGCCGTCTTGAAATTGGATGCCCTAGTCTCAGTCAAGCCTTTGGATGACTGCAGGCCTAATCAACATATTGACCAAGACAGAACAACCTAGCTAAAGCATTTCTCAAATCAGGAACCACAGAAGCTCTATATTAGTTTGCTATTGTTGTACAACAAATGAACATCTCAGGAAATATACATATATTGTCTAGTATATTTTCTCTTATACAGTTTCTGTGGGTCAGGATTTCATTTAAGAAAATACATGTTTATTCTTTTTTAAGTGTTTTTTTTACTTCCTTTTCTTTAAATTTATTTTTTATTTCAATAGGTTTTTGGGGAACAGATGGTGTTTGGTTACATGAATAACTTCTTTAGTGATGATTTCTGAGATTTTAGTGCACCCATCACTCGAGCAGGGTACACTGTACCCAATGTGTAGTCTTTTCTCCCTCATCCCCCTCCCACCCTTTCCCCTGGGTCCCCAGAGTCAATTGTATCATTCTTATGCCTTTGCATCTTCATAGCTTTGCTCCCACCTATGAGTGAGAACATATGATATTTGGTTTTCCATTCCTGAGTTAATTCACATAGAACAAGTCTCCAATTCCATCCAGATTGCTGCAAATGCCATTATTTTGTTTCTTTTTATGGCTGAGTAGTATTCCATGCTACATATATACCACATTGTCTTTATCCATTCGTTCACTAATGGGCATTTGAACTGATTCCATATTTTTTCAGTTGCAGATTGTGCTGCTATAAACATATGAGAAAAGGCCAGTTACCGTGGCTCATACCTGTAATCCCAGCCCTTTGGGAGGCCGAGGCAGACAGATCACCTGAGGTCAGGAGTTCAAGACCAGCCTGACCAACATGCAGAAACCTTATCTCTACTAAAAATACAAAATTAGCTGGGTGTGGTGGCACATGCCTATAATCTCAGCTACCTGGGAGGCTGAGGCAGGATAATTGCTTGAACCCGGGAGGTAGAGGTTGTGGGGAGCTGAGAGCGCACCACTGCACTCCAGCCTGGGAAACAAGAGTGAAACTGTCTCAAAAAAAAAAAAAAAAAAGGAGGAAAAAAACGTATTTATTGTCTCGTATTTTCTGTGGGTCAGGAATTTGGTCACAACTCAACTGGGTTCACTGCATAGGGTTTCACAAGGTTGCAGGCAAGGTGTCAGCTGAGCTAGGTTCAAGCTCATTGAGGTTGTTGACAAAATTCATTTTCTTATGTCTGTATGATTGTGTAGCTATGTTTTTTATTGGGTATTGGCTGGAGGCCACCCTCAGGTCCTAGACACCACCTGCTGTTGGGCTTCCTCAATATGGTCACACACTTCATCAAATCAGCAAGGAGAATCTTGTGTGCATGCCAGCAATATGTCTATCTCATATCCTAATGTATGTCTCTCTCCTCCTCCTCTCCTCTTCTCTCTCCTTTCTTCTGTGTGCACACACACACACACACATATCACAGGAGTAACAACCCATCACATTTGCAATATTATGTCAGTTAGAAACAAGTCACAGATCCTTCTCACACTCACTCGATTTCATCCAAAAGTTTGGGCAGTGATCCCATCCACACTAAAAAAGGAAGAGATCATACAGAGTATAACACCAGGACATCGAGATCATGGGAAACATCTTAGAAGTCTGCCTATCACAGATAATAAATACTTGTTGTTGTTTGAAGACATTAAGTTTCAGGTAATTTCTTATGCAGCAATAGATAACTAATTAGTAAGAGTTGTGCCTAACTAATTAGGCACAAGTTAGAATATAAGGAGTGAACAGTTATCACTATAGATCCTACAGATACTAAAAAGATAAGAGTTTGTTTTACTATAAGCAAGCCTATCACAATAAGACAATTTAGATTAAAAGGCTGGTAAGTTTTATGCTTTGTATATTTTACCATGATAAAAACATTTTATAACCATCACTTACCATTTGATCACCTATTAAATGCTAAAGGCTGTACATACATTTCACTAATCCTTAGAACAACTTTGTTCAGTGAAAATTATTCCTGGTTTACAGAGGAGAAAACTGAGACTCAGAAAGGCTACTCATTTATTTGAAGTCTCACAGCCTTCATAATGTTATTCATGCACTCTTTATGCCCTAGATAGTTGGAGAAATTACAGGGGAGAATCTCAGAAATAACTAAAATAATTGAAGATGTAATCAAGAAACAAAAGTACAGTGTTTGAATAGAGACCAACTAAAGACAGCTGGGACTGGTTCAGTCTACATATAATTGAAAGGTAAATCACTAGGAAAAGGAAGAAATATCTGGGTTTCAAGATGAAATAGAAGTCATGAGAATTCTATAAATTTCAATTCAAGTTCACTGAAGAGAGCTAGGAGTCAGCTACTGTTTGCTACAGATAATATTCAGTAAGGAGCTAACTGCTAATACACTGGCCTGGGGAAGTGTTTAGTGTCAAATAGAAACCAACACTAGTAAAATACTTCCAGGAGGTAAGAATTTTTTTTTTTTTTTTGAGACAGTCTTGCTCTGTCCCCAAGGCTGGAATGCAGTGGCATGATCTTGGCTCACTGCAACCTCCACTTCCCAGGTTCAAGCAATTCTCCTGCCTCAGCCTCCCTAGTAGCTGGGATTACAGGCACACACCACCATGCCCAGCTGATTTTTGTAGTTTTAATAGAGATGCGGTTTCACCATGTTGGCCAGGGTGGTCTCAAACTCCTCACCTCAGGTTATCCGCCCGCCTTGGCCTCTCAAAGAGCTGGGATTACAGGCATGAGCCACTGCACCTTGCTGCTCCTTCTTTTTTTGTAATGGACCTGGGAGATCCTTAGGAATGAGGGAAAGACTCATTTCTTTGAATAGGGCAGAATATTAAAGACTAGCCAGCCTTCAGGCTTATGGTGGTTGCTGCTATTCTGTTGAACGTAAACCATAGCCTTTAGAAAGGAGCAAGTCTTTGTGGGATACACAGGATTTGAAGTGCATCAAAGGGGTGGAAACCCAGCTGACCATCATACCCTCAAGTGACAGTCACGTTCCAGTGATCCTCCTACTTCAGCCTCCGGAGTAGCTGGGACTACAGGCTACAGAAACTTCTTTTTTGGGACAGAGTCTCGCTCTGTCACCCAGGTTGGAGTGCAGTGGCGCAGTCTCAGCTCACTGCAAACTCCGCCTCCCGGGTTCACACCATTCTCCTGTCTCAGCCTCCCTGGTAGCTGGGACTACAGACACCCACCACCACACCCGGCTAAATAGTTTGTTGTTGTATTTTTAGCAGACACGGGGTTTTACCGTGTTAGCCAGGATGGTCTCGATCTCCTCACCTCATGATCTGCCCGCCTCGGCCTCCCAAAGTGCTGGGATTACAGGTGTGAGCCACTGCACCTGGCCAGAAATTTTAAGAGAACAAAAATAAAGGGAACAGAGCCATGCTCAGTTTTTGAGATTACAATAAACTTGATACCAAAAGTAGTCTAAAAAATTACAAAAAGTAAAACTACAGGCTAATCAGTCACATGAACACGAGCCCAAAAGTCATTTTTAAAAACAGCACACTAAGCGGGACACAGTGGTTCATGCCTGTAATCCCAGCACTTTGGGAGGCCGAGGTGGGAGAAGTGCTTGAGCTCAGGAGTTCCCTTTATTTTTGTTCTCTTAAAAGTTTCTGTATCCTCTAGGCCCATCTACTCAAGAGGCTGAGGTGGGAGGATAACTGGAACGTGACTGTGAATAGCCACTGACTCCAGCCTGGGCAACATAGTGAGACTCTGTCCCTAAGATTTAAAAAAAAATCTGTAATGTTGGTGTTATTTTTTCCCTTTCATTGAGGAATTCACCAGTGATGCCATCAGGAACTGGGGATTGTTTTTGTGAGGAAGTTTTAAATTATGGATTCTATTTATTTCATAAATATACGGGTATACATACTCTTATATTTGGTTTTGGTAAGTTGTGTTTTTCAAGCAGTATGTATACAACCTTTTAATTTGTTTCTGCTTATAATAATTGTGGGATCTTTTTTTAAAAAAATGATTGACTTTTCATGAATAGAAGATAAGTTTTACTAATACTACACTCAATGTTAATTCCTTGAAGTTCAAGGACACTGAGACCCCGTCTAATAATACAGAAGAAAAACTAGGATAGTGGCAAGACTAGCCTGGGGAGCAAAGTGAGACTCCAGTTCAAAAAAATAAAAAAATTAGCCAGGTGTGGTCACACACATTCTGTGGTCCCAGCTACTTGGGAGGCTGAGGCAGAAGAATAGCTTGAACCCAGGAGGTGGAGGTTGCAGTGAGCCTAGCTTGTGCCATTGCACTCCAGCCTGGGCGACAAGAGTGAAACTCTGTCTCAAAAAACAAAACAAAACAAAACAAACAAACAAACAAAATATATACAGAGAGAGAGAGAGGCTGCCTAGAGAGGAGTAATACACTAAACTAGCAATGCTAGTTTCAATTTAGGGTGAATTACTTCAGTAGAGAACGGAAGTACATGCACTAGCCTGAATATGTTAATTTAAATTAAAAAAAAAAACTTAAAAAAAAAATTAGAGATGGGGTCTCGACATGTTGCCCAGGCTGAATCCAAACTCCTAGGCTCAAGCAGTCCTCCCCCCTCAGCTTCCGAAGTAGCTGAATAAGCTAATTAACTTGTTTTGTTTCTCTCAGGGAGTGCACAACAGGTGGAGGGAGGAGGCAGGAGTGTGGGGATGAGAGCACCTTCCCAAGAAAAGGCCTGGAAGAGTTTATAACAACCAGGAAAGGCCTGGGGCACAGCAAAAGGAACTGGCCTTTGCCTCTGGGAGAAAGGAATGCCTCCTCCCTTCTTCCAGCCTCCCTTAAGAAAAATACCCAGGAATGCCCCCAGCCCTGTGAGCACAGAGCACTGGTGTGAGTTGTTTACTTGTTAATGAGTTTGCACCACTGTCTGCATGTAGTGAGTCATTCAGGTCATTCTGGGGTGATGTTGGTATGCACAAACCCCTCCTTTAATCTGGTTGGCTAGTTCAGAATAGACAAGTTTTAACACTGCTTCCTTCTCCCATCGAGAAGTAAAGCCCAGGTTCTGAGGAGCAGACTCCATCTGGAGACCATGTTTGGTGAACCTGAGCTTTGGGAAAGACACGGCTTCAACCTCAAGTTGTTTTGCCCCTTCCTGTGGCTGACAGCATCAGAGGTCAGGATCACAATGAATTTTACCATTTTGATGGGGATTTTAAAAAGTGACTGTTTAAAAAACGCTGCTTTGAAATTTTTTTTAATCTTGATTTATATAAGCATTTATTTCTTGATAAGATTTGAATTATAACCTAATTGATAGACTTAATATTCTTTGGGGCTAAGACTACATGAGAAAAAAATGTTATACAGATTTTTTAAATGATTCCTGGGCTTAAGGAAAAAATTAATTTTAAATCCTTACCAGTCTCCCAGATAATTAATGAGCAGGTGTTGCCTGGGAGTGTAAAGATTTTTAGGTCTTATGACCTCGTGGCCCCTTGGTCCAAAAAATAAGATTACTTGCCTCTTTCCTTATTCTTACCGGATAGAATAAGACTCTTTTAAAACATCTAGTTTAGGTTAGAAAAGAAAATGGGACACCATATTTGTAATTGACTTAACATTTATAAGTACCTGATTTAAATGAACTTTACTCAAAGTACACTCCACAAAAGGCACTTCAAATTTCACTGGAGCACAGCCCTTTGTGTTGAAGAATAACGTAGAATAAAATAGCTTTCTTTTTTAACACCACCACAACACTCAAGGAAATGAAAGTAGGTAAGGCATATATCTGTGAACAGCAGTGCTATCCATTCCATGAATGTTTAGGGTTTACTCCATGTTAGGCACTAGGAACAGGATGGCAAACAGGGCAGACAGGTCCCCTGACCTCTTCCACCACCCTACAGTCGAGTGAAGAAAGTAGATTTTTTAAAAATTATTATTATACTTTAAGTTTTAGGGTACATGTGCACAATGTGCAGATTACTTACATATGTATACATGCGCCATGCTGGTGTGCTGCACCCATTAACTCGTCATTTAGCATTAGGTATATCTCCTAATGCTATCCCTTCCCCCTCCCCCTACCCCACATTGCTCTTCTCTCCCAGGCTGGAGAACAGTGGTGCTATCTCGGCTCACTGCAACCTCTGCCTCCTGGGTTCAAGAAATTCTCCTGCCTGAGCCACGTGAGTAGCTAGGATTACAGGTGTGCAACATGACACCTGGCTAATTTTGTATTTTTAGTAGAGATGGGGTTTTGCCAGTTGGCCAGACTGGTCTCGAACCCCTGACCTCAGGTGATCCTCCCGCCTTGGCCTCCCAAAATGCTGGGATTATAGGCGTGAGCCACCATGTCCAGCTAGATTTTAAATATTAACAAAATAATTACAAGTTCTGATTATTACTGTTAAGAGAAAAGCACAGAGATAAAATAACATCAGAGAGGGGGCACCACCACTTTAGGAAGCCAGGTAAGGGCTGGAGGAGGTGAAATTTAGGCAAAGATTAAAGGACATTAGGAGTCAGACCTGCCATAGCAGGAGGGAATAACATCCCTGGCAGAGAGGAAAGCTTGTTCAGAGCCATAGTCCTGAAAGAAGCTTGTTTGAGGGACTACAAGAAGACCAATGTGCTTGAAGCATAATACATCTAAGATCAGATGTGTGATGAGTTTGAAGAGGCAGCTAGATCACCGTAAGAACTTTGGAGGGCTTTTGGCAGGAGAGTGACATGATCTGATCTGATGTATATTTTGAAAGGTCACTCCAGCCTCCAGGTAGCAGTGGAAGAAGACATGCAAAAATCACAATCATAACTTACACGGCATGGTAGCTTGGAGTACGGAGGAAGAGGAAGAACATCTGGGGTATATTTTGGAAGTGGAATAAACAGATCTGCTGGTGGATGGAGAAGGGTGGGGTGAGGGTTGGTAATGAGGAGCCAAGGATGACTCATTTTCAGGTTGGAGTAACTGGGAAGGCTTGGAAGACTAGTGGAGAAACAGGTTTGGAGAGAGAAGTCTCAGTCCCTTAGTCATTCACCTCAGTTTCATAGTCACTGGAATACCTTAGATCTCTTATCTACCATTTCTTTAAAAACATGCATAAGCCCAGGGAGGCTGATGGGGGAGGATCCCTTGAACCCAGGAGTTTGAGGCATACCTGGGCAACACAGCAAGACCCTGTCTCTCTAAAAACAACAACTACAAAAAAAAGGTGGGGGGCAGAAAAAGGCTGGGCACAGTGGCACACGCCTATAATCCCAGCATTTTGGGAGGCCGAGGCAGGTGGATCACATGAGATCAGGAGTTCGAGACCAGCCTGACCAACACGGTGAAAACCTGTCTCTATAAAAATACAAAATTAGCCAGGCGTGATGGTGTGCACCTGTAATCCCAGCTACTTGGGAGGCTGAGACAGGAGAATCGCTGGAACCTGGGAGGCGGAGGTTGCAGTGAGCCAAGCTAGTGTCACTACACTGCAGCCTGGGTAACAAAGCAAGACTCTGTCTCAAAAAACAAAAAACAAACAAACAAACAAACAAACAAAAACAGAAAGAAACATGTGTAGCAGAAAACTGCTGCCCGCTGGGCCTAAACTAACCCCAGATTTTTTTTATATATATATATATAGCAAGAGCTTACAGAACAGGCAGCACCAAGTGGGAGCTGGGGGGCTTGTCTTGATGTTGCATTTGATAAATATACACAGTTTTTGCTCAGATTATATTTTTGCTTAGATTTGGGCTAAAGATCCCCAAAGCTGCCCCTTGGTATTGACACTCATTAAGAAATTAAGGAAGAGATAGTACTATTGAACTATTTTCCAAAAAAAGAAAAAAAAAAGACAAAAACCCAAAACAAATGGGATGTGATGTACATTTTCCATGTTATTTTATACATGAGCTATCTTTCCAATACTGAAGTTGGTTTAGCAAGAAAATAATTAAAGACGTCAATGTGCAAACCAAGAGCCAAAACCACTCTCAACAGCCCAAGGTTGTGAACGTATTTAATTTGCCGTTTCCCTGGGAAGTCATTTCTTGGATCATTGACTTACTATTATTCTGTAAAACAGTGGTAGCCCCTGCCTTCCTCTGCTTGCTGCCAAGAGTATGATCCAGCAGTGGGGTCTGAAGAGTTTATGTTTATTGGATTTTAATGACTTAGTTAACAAAGGTCATTCCTAAAAGTAATAGAAAACTAAGGGTGTGGAAACAGAACGGAAAAGACTGACTCGAGGGTTATTTCTAGTAGTTCCTTGGTGTTGTCCTTAGATACATGTTTAATCCTTAAAAGCAATTATGAAGGAGTCTTCCTCATAACCAATTTACTGATGCTATATTCAACTATACTTGTAAAATGTTATTTTAGACCTCTCAGTAACAAAAGGAACAGGGCTTAAAATATGTTAGATAATATTGCCATAAACAATGTACTGTTAACATAATATTGCTGACAGTATAATTGTAATTCACTGTAATACTTGAATGCCACAACTGTAGTGCTTCCATTATCGCTGACAGTAGGAAATAACTTCAGTCTCAGGTGAAATCTCCTTGGATACAAATCTCCAAGTTAAAAGAAACCTAAAAGACCATTTAATCTTGTCCTTTTAAATATTTAGTAACTCATTTGGCAGTAAATATTTATCCAAATTATGTTTCTTAGACTGTAAAAGAATTTCCAGGCTGGGTGTGCTGGTTCATGCCTGTAATCTTAGCACTTTGGGAGGACGAGGCAGGAGGATCACTTGAGGCCAGGCATTCGAGAACAAATTGGGCAACAAAATCAGACTTTATCTCTATTCAAAGTAAATAAAACTAAAAAAAAAATTAGGGGCTGGGCACAGTGGCTCACACCTGTAATCCAGCATTTTGGGAGGCCAGGGCAGGAGGATCACCTTAAGTTAGGAGTTCAAGACCCGCCGAACCAACATGGAGAAACCCCATCTCTACTAAAAATACAAAATTAGCCAGGCATGGTGGTGCATGCCTGTAATCTCAGCTACTTGGGTGGCTGATGCAGGAGAATTGCTTGAACCTGGGAGGCGGAGGTTGCAGTGAGCCAAGATCACACCATTGCACTCCAGCTTGGGCAACAAGAGCAAAACTCTTGTCTCTAAATAAATAAATAAATTAGCTGGGTATGGTGGCACACACCTGTAGTCACATCTACTCAGGAGGCTCAGCTGAGAGGATTGCTTGAGCCCAAGAGTTTGAGGGTGTAGTGAGCTATGATTGCACCACTATACTCCAGCCTGGGTGACAGAACAAGACCCTGTCTCAAAAAAAAAAACGAGCTAAATGGTGATTGAATTATTTAAAATTAAATTGATGAGATCATTTAAGAATATGTGGAAAGAAAGAAATTTATAGTCATTCTTCAGGTATAAATTAAATATTTTCCACCTCAAAAATCCAATGACATGAGATATAAATGTATAGTTCACATATGTAATACATTTCTCACATGGTTACAGAACCTTTCTGATCTGGCTCTGGTTGACTTTTCCAGCCTTATCTAATTTCTCCTCCCTCCTTCCAACCCTGTTTTTTCCTCCTCCTCTCCTTAGCTACAGCCTTACTAATCTTCCTACCGTGAGCCTCAAACCCACGCTGCTCTCAGGTCTCAGGGCCTATGTACAAGTAATTCCCACTGCCTGGAATCCCTTGCCCTCATTCTTTGTTGGGTCATTCTGCAGACCCAATACTACTTCCTCTTGGGAGACTTTGTCCATCTCCTCTTCCCCCAATCTCCGAACCCCACCAAGACGTCAGTAGTTCTTGAGCAAGCCTCTGCTTAGTTTTCCTGGGATGACCAAAACTAACACTGTCTGATCCGTTGTTCAATACCCAATCCCTAGAACAGAGCTGCAACATAACAGGCACTATAAATGAATGAATGGATAAAGACAGCACTGAAGAACTTGAAATTATAGTTTACACATGTAAACAGTAACATAAATCTGAAGAAATAAAGTTTTTTTTTGTTGTTTTTTCGAGATGGAGTCTCGCTCTGTCACCAGGCTGGAGTGCAGTGGTGCAATCTGGCCTCACTGCAACCTCCGCCTCCCGGGTTCAAGCGATTCCCCTGCCTCAGCCTCAGCGTCCCAAGTAGCTAGGACTCCAGGCACGTGCCACTACGCCTGGTTATTTTTCTTTCTTTCTTTTTATTGTATTTTAGTAGAGATGGGTTTCACTATATTGGCCAAGACGGTCTCAATCTCCTGACCTTGTGATCTGCCTGCCTCATCCTCCCAAAGTGCTGGGATTACAGGCGTGAGCCACCGGGCCTGGCCAAGTTGTTGTTGTTGTTGTTGTTGTTGTTGTTTTTATTATACTCTAAGTTTTAGGTTACATGTGCACATTGTGCAGGTTAGTTACATATGTATACATGTGACATGCTGGTGCGCTGCATCCACTAACTCATCATCTAGCATTAGGTATATCTCCCAATGCTATCCCTCCCCCTCCACCCACCCCACCACAGTCCCCAGAGTGTGATGTTCCCCTTCCTGTGTCCATGTGATCTCATTGTTCAGTTCCCACCTATGAGTGAGAATATGTGGTGTTTGGTTTTTTGATCTTGCGATAGTTTACTGAGAATGATGATTTCCAGTTTCATCCATGTCCCTACAAAGGACATGAACTCCTCATTTTTTATGGCTGCATAGTATTCCCTGGTGTATATGGGCCACATTTTCTTAATCCAGTCTATCATTGTTGGACATTTGGCTTGGTTCCAAGTCTTTGCTATTGTGAATAATGTCGCGATAAACATACATGTGCATGTGTCTTTATAGCAGCATGATTTATAGTCCTTTGTGTATATACCCAGTAATGGGATGTCTGGGTCAAATGGTAATTCTAGTTCTAGATCCCTGAGGAATCGCCACACTGACTTCCACAATGGTTGAACTAGTTTACAGTCCCACCAACAGTGTAAAAGTGTTCCTATTTCTCCACATCCTCTCCAGCACCTGTTGTTTCCTGACTTTTTAATGATTGCCATTCTAACTGGTGTGAGATGATATCTCATAGTGGTTTTGATTTGCATTTCTCTGATGGCCAGTGATGATGAGCATTTTTTTC
>NT_187515.1:313356-354444 GCF_000001405.40 Homo sapiens
AGCCTGGGTCGGCACCCACACCCCCAGGTGCGCATCTGATGGTCTGGAGCAGCACCCACACCCACAGGTGGGCATCTGACAGCCTGGAAAAGAGCCCAGACCCCCAGGTGAGCATCTGACAGACTGGAACTGCACCCCCATGCCCAGGTGAGCCTCTGACAGCCTTGAACAGCACCCTGCACCCCGAGGTGAGCATCTGACAGCCTGGAACAGCACGCACACCCCCAGGTGCGCACGTGACAGCCTGTAACAGCACCCACACACCCAGGCGAGTATCTGACGGCCTGGAACAGCACCCACACCCCCAGTTGAGCATTGGACAGCCTGGATCAGCACCCACATCCCCAAGCGAGCATCCGACAGCCTGGGGCAGCACCCACACCCCCAGGTGAGCATCTGACATCGTGGAGCAGCACCCCACACCCACAGGTGAGCATCTGACAGCCTGGAGCAGCACCCACACCCCCAGGTGAGCATCTGACAGCCTGGAACAGCACCCTGCACCCCCAAGTGAGCATCCGACAGCCTGGAGCAGCACCCACACCCCCAGGTGAGCATCTGATGGTCTGGAGCAGCACGCATAAACACAGGTGAACATCGGAGAGTCTGGAGCAGCGCCCACACCCCCAGGCGAGCATCTGACAGCCTGGAGCAGTACCCACACACCCAGGTGAGCATCTGACAGCGTGGAGCAGCACCCAAACCCCCAGGCGAGCATCTGAACGCACGGAGCAGCACCCACACCTTCAGGCGAGCATCGGACAGCCTGGAGCAGCACCCACACCCCCAGGTGCGCATGTGATGGTCTGGAGCAGCACCCACACCGACAGGTGAGCATCTGACAGCCTGGAACAGAACCCACACCCCCAGGTGAGCATCTGACAGACTGGAACACCTCCCACATGCCCAGCTGAGCCTCTGACAGCCTGGAACAGCACCCTGTACCCCCAGGGGAGCATCTGACACCCTGGAGCAGCACGCACATCCCCAGGCGAGCATCCGACAGCCTGGAGCAGCACCCACACCCTCAGGTGAGCATCTGACAGCCTGGAGCAGCAGGCACACCCCCAGTGAGCATCCGACAGCCTGGAACAGCACCCACACACCCAGGTGAGCATCCGACACCGTGGAGCAGAACAAACACCCCCAGGCGAGCATCTGACAGCCTGGGTCGGCACCCACACCCCCAGGTGCGCATCTGATGGTCTGGAGCAGCACCCACACACACAGGTGGGCATCTGACAGCCTGGAACAGAGCCCAGACCCCCAGGTGAGCATCTGACAGACTGGAACTGCACCCCCATGCCCAGGTGAGCCTCTGACAGCCTTGAACAGCACCCTGCACCCCCAGGTGAGCATCTGACAGCCTGCAACAGCACGCACACCCCCAGGTGCGCACGTGACAGCCTGCAACAGCACCCACACCCCCAGGCGAGCATCTGACGGCCTGGAACAGCACCCACACCCCCAGTTGAGCATTGGACAGCCTGGATCAGCACCCACAACCCCAAGCGAGCATCCGACAGCCTGGAGCAGCACCCACACCCCCAGGTGAGCATCTGACATCGTAGAGCAGCACCCCACACCCACAGGTGAGCATCTGACAGCCTGGAGCAGCAGCCACATCCCCAGGTGAGAATCTGACAGCCTGGAACAGCACCCTGCACCCCCAAGTGAGCATCCGACAGCCTGGAGCAGCACCCACACCCCCAGGTGAGCATCTGATGGTCTGGAGCAGCACGCATAACCACAGGTGAACATCGGAGAGTCTGGAGCAGCGCCCACACCCCCAGGCGAGCATTTGACAGCCTGGAGCAGTGCCCACACACCCAGCTGAGCATCTGACAGCGTGGAGCAGCACCGACACCCCCAGGCGAACATCTGAACGCACGGAGCAGCACCCACACCTTCAGGCGAGCATCGGACAGCCTGGAGCAACACCCACGCCCCCAGGTGCGCATGTGATGGTCTGGAGCAGCACCCACACCAACAGGTGAGCATCTGACAGCCTGGAACAGAACCCACACCCCCAGGTGAGCATCTGACAGACTGGAACAGCTCCCAAATGCCCAGCTGAGCCTCTGACAGCCTGGAACAGCACCTTGCACCCCCAGGGGAGCATCTGACAGCCTGGAACAGCACGCACACCCCCAGGTGAGCATCTGACCGCCTGGAACAGCACCCACACCCCCAGGCGAGCATCTGAGAGCATGTAACAGCACCCACACACCCAGGTGAGCATCTGACAGCCTGGAACAGCACCCTGCACCCCCAGGTGCGCACGTGACAGCCTGGAACAGCACCCACACAGCCAGGTGAGCATCTGACAGCCTGGAGCAGCACCCACATCCCCAGGTGAGCATCTGACAGCCTGGAACAGCACCTTGCACCCCCAGGTGAGAATCTGACAACCTGGAACAGGACAAACACCCCCAGGCGAGCATCTGACACCCTGGAACTGCACACACACCCCCAGGCGAGCATCTGACAACCTGCAACAGCACCCATACGCCCAGATGAGCATCTGACAGCATGGAACAGCACCCTGCACCCCCAGGACAGCATCTGACAGCGTGGAACAGCACCCATACGCCCAGATAAGCATGTGACAGCCTGGAACAGCTCCCTGCATCCCCAGGTGCGCACCTGACAGACTGGAACAGCACCCACACACCCAGGCGAGCATCTGATGGCCTGGAACGGCACCCACACCCCCAGGTGAGCATCCGACATCCTGAAACAGCTCCCACAACCCCAGGTGAGCATCCGATAGCCTGGAGCAACACCCATACCCCCAGGTGAGCATCTGACCGCATGGAATGGCATCCTCACCTCCAGGTGAGCATCCGACAGCCTGGAGCAGCACCCACACCCCCAGGTGAGCATCTGACAGCCTGGAACGGCAACCACACCCCCAGGCGAGCATCCGACAGCCTGGAACAGCACCAAAAACCCCAGGTGAGCATCTGACGGCCTGGAACAGCACCCACACCCCCAGGTGAGCATCTGACATCGTGCAGCAGCACCCCACACCCACAGGTGAGCATCTGACAGCCTGGAGCAGCACCCACACCCCAGGTGAGCATCTGACAGCCTGGAACAGCACCCTGCACACCCAGGTGAGCATCCGACAGCCTGGAGCATCACCCACACCCCCAGACGAGCATCTGACAGCCTAGAACAGCACCCACACCCCCAGGCGAGCATCTGACAGCATGTAACAGCACCCACACCCACAGGTGAGCATCTGACAGCCTGGAACAGCAGCCTGCACCCCCAGGTGTGCACGTGACAGCTTGGATCAGCACCCACACCCCCAGGCGAGCATCGGACGGCCTGCAACAGCACCCACACCCCCATGTGAGCATCTGACTGCCTGGAACAGCACCCACACCCCCAGGTGAGCATCTGACATCGTGGAGCAGCACCCCACACCCACAGGTGAGCTTCTGACAGCCTGGAGCAGCACCCACACCCCAGGTGAGCATCTGAGAGCCTGGAACAGCACCCTGCACCCCCAGGTGAGCATCCCACAGCCTGGAGCAGCACACACACCCACAAGCGAGCATCTGACAGCCTGGAACGGCACCCACACCCCTAGGTGAGCATCTGATGGTCTGGAGCATCACCCACAACCACAGGTGAGCATCGGAGAGTCTGGAGCAGCGCCCACACTGCAGGGCGAGCATCTGACAGCCTGGAGCAGTGCCCACACCCCCAGGTGAGCATCTGACACCATGGAGCAGCACCCACAGACCAAGGTGAGCATCTGACAACCTGGAGCAGCACCCACACTCCCAGGCGAGTATCTGTACGCACAGAGCAGCACCCACACCCCCAGGCGAGCATCCGACAGCCTGGAGCAGCACCCACACCCTCAGGTGAGCATCTGACAGCCTGGAGCAGAACCCACACCCCCAGGCGAGCATCTGACAGCCTGGGTCCGCACCCACACCCCCAGGTGCGCATCTGATGGTCTGGAGCAGAACCCACACCCACAGGTGAGCATCTGACAGCCTGGAACAGAACCCACACCCCCAGGTGAGCATCTGACAGACTGCAACTGCACCCCCATGCCCAGGTGAGCCTCTGACAGCCTGGAACAGCACGCACACCCCCAGGTGAGCATGTGACAGCCGGGAACAGCACCCACACCCACAGGCGAGCATCTGACTGCATGTATCAGCACCCACACCCCCAGGTGAGCATCTGACAGCCTGGAACAGCACCCTGCACCCCCAAGTGAGCATCCGACAGCCTGGAGAAGCACCCACACCCCCAGGCGAGCATCTGACAGCCTGGAACGGCACCCACACCCCCAGGTGAGCATCTGATGGTCTGGAGCAGCACGCATAACCACAGGTGAACATCGGAGAGTCTGGAGCAGCGCCCACACCCCCAGGCGAGCATCTGACAGCCTGGAGCAGTGCCCACACCCCCAGGTGAGCATCTGACAGCGTGGAGGAGCACCCACACCCCCAGGCGAGCATCTGAACGCAAGGAGCAGCACCCACACCTCCAGGCGAGCATCCGACAGCCTGGAGCAGCACCCACACCCCCAGGTGCGCATGTGATGGTCTGGAGCAGCACCCACACCCACAGGTGAGCATCTGACAGCCTGGAACAGAAACCACACCCCCAGGTGAGCATCTGACAGACTGGAACAGCACCCACATGCCCAGCTGAGCCTGTGACAGCCTCGAACAGCACCCTGCACCCCCAGGGGAGCATCTGACAGCCTGGAACAGCACGCACACACCCAGGTGAGCATCTGACCGCCTGGAACAGCACCCACACCCCCAGGCGAGCATCTCACAGCACGTAACAGCACCCACACACCCAAGTGAGCATCTGACAGCCTGGAACAGCACCCTGCACCCCCAGGTGCGCACGTGACAGCCTGGAACAGCACACACACCCCCAGGCGAGCATCTGACGGCCTGGAACGGCACCCACACCCCCAGGTGAGCATGTGACAGCCTGGATCAGCACCCACACCCCCAGGCGAGCATCTGACAGCCTGGAGCAGCACCTCACACCCCCAGGTGAGCATCGGACAGCCTGGAGCAGCACCCACACCCCCTGATGAGCATCTGACAGCCTGGAACAGCACCCACACTCCCAGACGAGCATCGGACAGCCTGGAGCAGCACCCACACTGCCAGGCGAGCATCCGCCAGCCTGGAAAAGCACCCACACCCCCAGGTGAGCATTCGACAGCCTGGAGCAGCACCCACAACCCCAGGCGTGCATCCGACAGCCTGGAGCAGGACCCACACCCCCAGGTGAACATCCGACATCGTGGAGTAGCACCCCACACCCACAGGTGAGCATCTGACAGCCTGGAACAGTACCCACACCCACAGGCGAGCATCTGAAACCACGGAGCAGCACCCACACCTCCCGGCGAGCATCCGACAGCCTGGAGCAGCACCCACACACCCAGGTGCGCATCTGATGGTCTGGAGCAGCACCCACAACCACAGGTGAGCATCTGACATCGTGGAGCAGCACCCCAAACCCACAGGTGAGCATCCGACAGCCTGGAGCAGCACCCACACACCCAGGCGAGCATCTGACAGCCTGGAACGGCACCCACACCCCCAGGTGAGCATCTGATGGTCTGGAGCAGCACCCACAACCACAGGTGAGCATCCGACAGCCTGGAACATCACCCACACACTCACGCGAGCACCTGACATCCTTGAGCAGCACCCACACCCCCAGGTGAGCATCTGACAGCCTGGAGCAGCACCCTGCACCCCCAGGTGAGGATCTGACAGCCTGGAACAGCACCCTGCAACCCAGGTGAGCATCTGACACCCTGAAACAGCACACACACCCCCAGGCGAGCATCTGACAACCTGGAACAGCACCCATACGCCAAGATGAGCATCTGACAGCGTGGAACAGCACCCTGCACCCCCAGGAGAGCATCTGACAGCATGGAACAGCACCCATACGCCCAGATGAGCATCTGACAGCCTGGAATAGGTCCCTGCACCCCCAGGTGCGCACCTGACAGCCTGCAACAGCACCCACACACCCAGGCGAGCATCTGATGGCCTGGAACTGCACCCAGACGCCCAGGTGAGCATCCGACATCCTGAAACAGCTCCCACACCCCCAGGTGAGCATCCGACAGCCTGGAGCAGCACCCATACCCCCAGGTGAGCATCTGATCGCATGGAATGGCATCCTCACCTCCAGGTGAGCATCCGACAGCCTGGAGTAGCACCCACACCCCCAGGTGAGCATCTGACAGCCTGGAAGAGCAACCACACCCCCAGGCGAGTATCTGACAGCCTGGAACAGCATCCTGCACCCCAGGGTGAGGATCAGACAGCCTGGAGCAGCACCCACACTCCAGGTGAGCATCTGACAGCCTGAAGCAGCACCCACACCAACAGGTGAGCATCTGACAGCCTGGAACAGCACCCACACCCCCAGGTGAGCATCTGACAGCCTGGAACAGCACCCACACCCCCAGGTGAGCAGCTGAAATCCTGGAACAGCACCCACACCCCTAGGTGAGCATCTGACAGGCTGGAGCAGCACGCACACCCCCAGTTGAGCATCTGACAGCCTGGAACAGCATCCACACCCCCAGGTGAACATCCGACAGCCTGGAGCAGAACCCACACCCCGAGGCGAGCATCTGACAGCCTGGGTCGGCACCCACACCTCCAGGTGAGCATCTGATGGTCTGGAGCAGTACCCACACCCACAGTTGAGCATCTGACAGCCTGGAACAGAACCCACACCCCCAGGTGAGCATCTGACAGACTGGAACAGCACCCACACGCCCAGGTGAGCCTCTGACAGCCTGGAACAGCACGCGCACCCCCAGGTGAGCATCTGACAGCCTGGAACAGGACCCACACCCCCAGGCGAGCATCTGACTGCATGTAACAGCACCCACACCCCCAGGTAAGCATCTGACAGCCTGGAACAGCACCCTGCACCCCCAGGTGTGCACGTGACAGCCTGGAACAACACCCACACCCCCAGGAGAGCATCTGACTGCATGTAACAGCACCCACACCCCCAGGTAAGCATCTGACAGCCTGGAACAGCACCCTGCACCCCCAGGTGTGCAAGTGACAGCCTGGAACAGCACCCACACCCCCAGGCGAGGATCGGACAGCCTGGAGCAGCACCCTACACCCCCAGGGGAGCATCCGACAGCCTGGAGCAGCACCCACACCCCCAGGTGAGCATGTGACAGCCTGGATCTGCACCCACACTCCCAGGCGAGCATCTGACAGCCTGGAGCAGCACCCCACACCCCCAGGTGAGCATCGGACAGCCTGGATCAGCACCCACACCCCCAGGTGAGCATCTGACAGCCTGGAACAGCACCCACACTCCCAGACGAGCATAGGACAGCCTGGAGCAGCACCCACATCGCCAGGCGAGCATCCGCCAGCCTGGAACAGCACCCACACCCCCAGGTGAGCATCCGACAGCCTGGAGCAGGACCCACACCCCTAGGTGAACATCCGACATCGTGGAGCAGCACCCCACACCCACAGGTGAGCATCTGACAGCCTGTAACAGTACCCACACCCACAGGCGAGCATCTGAACCCACGGAGCAGCACCCACACCTTCCGGCGAGCATCCGACAGCCTGGAGCAGCACCCACACCCCCAGGTGCGCATCTGATGGTCTGGAGCAGCACCCACAACCACAGGTGAGCCTCTGACAGCCTGGAACAGCACCCTGCACCCCCAGGAGAGCATCTGACAGCCTGGAACAGCGCGCACACCCCCAGGTGAGGATCTGACCGCCTGGAACAGCACCCACACCCCCAGGCGAGCATCTGACAGCATGTAACAGCACCCACACCCCCAGGTGAGCATCTGACAGCCTGGAACAGCACCCTGCACCCCCAGGTGCGCACGTGACAGCGTGGAACAGCACCCACACACCCAGGTGAGCATCTGACATCCTGGAGCAGCACCCACATCCCCAGGTGAGCATCTGACAGCCTGGAACAGCACCCTGCACCCCCAGGTGAGCAACTGACACCCTGGAACAGCACACACACCCCCAGGCGAGCATCTGACACCCTGGAACAGCACACACACCCCCAGGCGAGCATCTGACAACCTGGAACAGCACCCATACGCCCAGATGAGCATCTGACAGCGTGGAACAGCACCCTGCACCCCAAGGAGAGCATCTGACAGCCTGGAACAGCACCCATACGCCCAGATGAGCATCTGACAGCCTGGAACAGCTCCCTGCACCCCCAGGTGCGCACATGACAGCCTGGAAGAGCACCCACACACCCAGGCGAGCATCTGATGGCCTGGAACCGCACCCACACCCCCAGGTGAGCATCCGACATCCTGAAACAGCTCCCACAACCCCAGGTGAGCATCCGACAGCCTGGAGCAGCACCCATACCCCCAGGTGAGCATCTGACCGCATGGAATGGCATCCTCACCTCCAGGTGAGCATCCGACAGCCTGGAGCAGCACCCACACCCCCAGGTGAGCATCTGACAGCCTGGAAGAGCAACCACACCCCCAGGCGAGCATCTGACAGCCTGGAACAGCACCCTGCACCCCCGGGTGAGGATCAGACAGCCTGGAGCAGCACCCACACTCCAGGTGAGCATCTGACAGCCTGAAGCAGCACCCACACCAACAGGTGAGCATCTGACAACCTGGAACAGCACCCACACCCCCAGGTGAGCAGCTGACCGCCTGGAACATCACCCACACCCCCAGGTGAGCATCTTATATCCTGGAACAGCACCCACACCTCCAGGTTAGCCTCTGACGGGCTGGAGCAGCACGCACACCGCCAGTTGAGCATCTGACAGCCTGGAACAGCACCCACACCCCCAGGTGAACATCCGACAGCCTGGAGCAGAACCCACACCCCCAGGTGAGCATCTGACAGACTGGAACAGCACCCACACGCTCAGGTGAGCCTCTGACAGCCTAGAACAGCACCCACACCCCCAGGCGAGCATCTGACAGCATGTAACAGCACCCACACCCCCAGGTAAGCATCTGACAGCCTGAAACAGCACCCTGCACCCCCGGTGCGCACGTGACAGCCTGGAACAGCACCCACACCCCCAGGCGAGCATCTGACGTCCTGGAACAGCACCCACACCCACAGGCGAGCATCGGACAGCCTGGAGCAGCACCCCACACACCCAGGTGAGTATCCGACAGCCTGGAGCAGCACCCACACCCCCAGGTGGGCATGTGACAGCCTGGATCAGCACCCACACTCCCAGGCGAGCATCTGACAGCCTGGAGCAGCACCCCACACCCCCAGGTGAGCATCGGGCAGCCTGGAGCAGCACCCACACCCCCAGATGAGCATCTGACAGCCTGGAACAGCACCCACACTCCCAGACGAGCATCGGACAGCCTGGAACAGCACCCACACCGCCAGGCGAGCATCCGCCAGCCTGGAACAGCACCCACACCCCCAGGTGAGCATTCGACAGCCTGGAGCAGCACCAACAACCCCAGGCTTGCATCCGACAGCCTGGAGCAGGACCCACACCCCGAGGTGAACATCCGACATCGTGGAGCAGCACCCCACACCCACAGGTGAGCATCTCACAGCCTGCAACAGTACCCACACTCCCAGGCGAGCATCTGACATCCTGGAGCAGCACCCACACCCCCAGGTGAGCATCTGACAGCCTGGAGTAGTATCCTGCACCCTCAGGTGAGCATCTGACAGCCTGGAACATCACCCTGCACCCCCAGGTGAGCATCTGACAGCCTGGAAAGGCACCCACACCACCAGGTGAGCATCTGATGGTCTGGAGAAGCACCCACAACCACAGGTGAGCATCGGAGAGTCCGGAGCAGCGCCCACACACCCAAGTGAGCATCTGACAGCCTGGAGCAGTGCCCACACCCCCAGGTTAGCATCTGATAGTGTGGAGCAGCACCCACAGCCCAAGGTGAGCATCTGACAACCTGGAGCAGCACCCACACCCCCAGGTGAGCATCTGACCGCCCGGAGCAGCACCCATACCCCAAGGCGAGCATCTGAAGTCATGGAGCAGCACCCACAACCCCAGGCGAGCATCTGACCGCATGGAGCAGCAGCCACAACTCCAGGCGAGCATCTGACAGCCTGGAACAGCACCGCACACCCGCAGGTGAGCATCTGACAGCCTGGAACAGCACCCCACACCCCAAGGTGAGTATCTGACAGCCTGGAACATCACCCCGCACCCACAGGCGAGCATCTGACAGCCTGGAGCAGCATCCACACACCCAGGCGAGAATCTGACAGCCTGGAACACCACCCACATCCGCAGGTGAGCATCTGACAGCCTGGAGCAGCACCCACACCCCCAGGTGAGCATCTGACAGCCTGGAGCAGCACCCACACACCCAGGTCAGCATCTGACAGCCTGGTGAAGCGCCCAAACCCCAAGGTGAGCATCTGACAGCCTGGAGCAGCGCCCACACCTCCAGGTGAGCATCTGACAGCCTGGAGCAGCACCCACACCCCCATTTGAGCATCCGACAGCCTGGAGCAGCACCCACACCCCAGGTGAGCATCGGACATCCTCGAGCATCACATACTCCCCCAGGTGAGCATCCGACAGCCTGGAGCAGCGCCCACACCCCTAGATGAGCATCTGACAGCCTGGAGCAGCACCCATACCCGCAGTTGAGCATCTGACAGCCTGGAGCAGCTCCCACACACCCAGGTAAGCATCTGACAGCCTGGAGAAATGCTCACACCCCAAGGTGAGCATCTGACAGCCTGGAGCAGCGTCCACACCCCCAGGTGAGCATCTGATAGCCTGGAGCAGCGCTCACACCCAGAGGTGAGCATATGACCACCTGGAGCAGCACCCACAGTCCCAGGTGAGCATCCGAGAGCGTGGAGCAGCATCCTCACCCCAGGTGAGCATCGGACATCCTGGAGCATCACATACTCCCCCAGGTGAGCATCCGACAGCCTGGAGCAGCGCCGACCCCCCCAGGGTGAGCATCTGACAGCCTGGAGCAGCACCCACACGCCCAGGCGAGGATGCGATAGCCTGGAGCAGCACCCACACCCCCAGGTGAGCATCCGACAGTCTGGGGCAGCACCCACTCCCGCAGGTGAGCATCCGACAGCCTGGAGCAGCACCCACAACCCCAGGTGAGTATCTGACAGCCTGGAGCAGCACCCACACCCCTAGGCGAGCATCCGACAGCCTGGAGCAGCACCTACACCCCCAGGTGAGCATCCGACAGCCTGGAACAGAATTCTCAAACCCCAGGTGAGGATCTGACAACCTGGAACAGAACCCCACTCTTCCAGGTGAGAATCTGACAACATTAAAACAGCACCCTGCACCCCCAGGTGAGCATCTGACAGCCTGAAACAGCACCCTTCACCTTCAGGTGAGAATATGACAGCCTGAAACAGCACCCCACAACCCAGGCAAAAATCTGACAGCATGGAACAAGACCACTGCTCCCAGGTGAGCATTTGACAACCTGGGAAAGCACCCTCCACCCACACGTGAGCATCTGACAGCCTGGAAACACCCCACTGCTTCCAGATGAACATCTGATAGCCTGGAACAGAACCCCAGGCCTCCAAGTAAGCATCTGAAAGCACGGAACAGCACTCTCGACCCCAGGGGAGCGTCTGACAACCTAGAACAGCACCTTCACCCCGAGGTGGGCATCTGGCAGCATAAAACAGCACCCCTACTGGCAGATGAGCATATGACAGCCTGGAACAGCACCCACACCCCCAGGCGAGCATCTGACAGCCTGGAGCAGCACACACAACCTTAGGCGAGCATCTGACAGCCTGGAGCAGCGCCCACACCCCCAGGTGAGCATGTGACAGCCTGGAGCAGCGCCCACACCCCCGGGCGAGCATCTGACAGCCTGGAGCAGCACACACAACCCCAGGCGAGCATCTGACAGCCTGGAGCAGCACACACAACCCCAGGCGAGCATCTGACAGCCTGGAGCAGCGCCCACACCCCCAGGTGAGCATGTGACAGCCTGGAGCAGCGCCCACACCCCCGGGCGAGCATCTGACAGCCTGGAGCAGCACCCACACCCCCAGGTGAGCATCTGACAGCCTGGGGCGGCGCCCACAGCCCCAGGTGAGCATCTGACAGCCCGGAGCAGCGTCCACACCCCCAGGTGAGCATCTGGCAGCCTGGAGCAGCACCCACACCCCCAGGTGAGCATCTGACTGCCTGGAGCAGCACCCACACCCCCAGGTGAGCATCTGACAGCCTGGAGCAGCGCCCACACACCGAGGTGAGCATCTGACAGCCTGGAGCAGCGCCCACACCCCCAGGTGAGCATCTGACAGCGTGGAGCAGCGCCCACACCCCCAGGTGGGCATCTGACAGCCTGGAGCAGGCGCCCACAATCCCAGGTTAGCATCTGACAGCCTGGAGCAGCACCCACACCCCCAGTTGAGTAGCTGACATCCTGGAGCTGCACCCATACCCCCAGGTGAGATCTGACAGCCTGGGGCAGCACCCACACCCCCAGGTGAGCATCTGGCAACCTGGAACAGCATCTACAGCCCCAGGTGACCATCTGACAGCCTGAAGCAGCACCCACACCCCCAGGTGAGCATGTGACCACATGGAATGTCATCCTCACCTCCAGGTGAGCATCGGACAGCCTGGAACAGAATTCTCAAGCCCCAGGTGAGGATCTGACAACCTGGAACAGAACCCCACTCTTCCAGGTGAGAATCTGACAGCATAAAACAGCACCCTGCACCCCCAGGTGAGCATCTGACAGCCTGAAACAGCACCCTCCACCTTCAGGTGAGAATATGACAGCCTGAAACAGCACCCCGCACCCAGGCAAAAATCTGACAGCATGGAACAAGACTACTGCCCCCAGGTGAGCATTTGACAGCCTGGGAAAGCACCCTCTACCCACACGTGAGCATCTGACAGCCTGGAAACACCCCCACTGCTTCCAGGTGAACATCTGATAGCCTGGAACAGAACCCCAGGCCTCCCAGTAAGCATCTGAAAGCAAGGAACAGCACTCTCACCCCCAGGGGAGCATCTGACAACCTAGAACAGCACCCTCACCCCGAGGTGGGCATCTGGCAGCATAAAACAGCACCCCTACTGGCAGATGAGCATATGACAGCCTGGAACAGCACCCACACCCGCTGGCGAGAATCTGACAGCCTGGAGCAACACCCACACCCCCAGGTGAGCATCTGACAGCCTGGAGCAGCGCCCACACCCCCAGGTGAGCATCTTACAGCCTGGAGCAGCGCCCACACCCCCAGGTGAGCATCTGACAGCCTGGAGCAGCACCCACACTCCCAGGTGAGTATCTGACAGCCTGGAGTAGCACCCACACCCCCAGGTGAGCATCTGACAGCCTGGAACAGCATCCACTCCCCCAGGTGAGCATCTGACCACATTGAATGGCATCCTCACCTCCAGGTGAGCATCTGACAGCCTGGAACCGCACCCACACCCCCAGGCGAGCATCTGACAGCCTGGAGCAGCACCCACACCCCCAGGTGAGCATCTGACAGCCTGGAGCAGCACCCACACCCCCAGGGGAGCATCTGACCGCATGGAATGTCATCCTCACTTCCAGGTGAGCATCCGACAGCCTGGAGCAGCACCCACACCCCCAGGTGAGCATCTGACCGCATGGAATGGCATCCTCACCTCCAGGTGAGCATCCGACAGCCTGGAACATAATTCTCCAACCCCAGGTGAGGATCTGACAACCTGGAACAGAACCCCACTCTTCCAGGTGAGAATCTGACACCATAAAACAGCACCCTGCACCCCCAGGTGAGCATCTGACAGCCTGGAACAGCATCCACACCCCCAGGTGAGCATCTGACCGCATGGAATGGCATCCTCACCTCCAGGTGAGCATCCGACAGCCTGGAACAGAATTCTCCAACCACAGGTGAGGATCTGACAGCCTGGAACAGAACCCCACTCTTCCAGGTGAGAATCTGACGCATAAAACAGCACCCTGCAACCCCAGGTGAGCATCTGACAGTCTGGAACAGCATCCACACACCCAGGCGAGCATCTGACAGCCTGGAGCAGCACGCACACCCCCAGGCGAGCATCTGACAGCCTGGAGCAGCACACACAACCCCAGGCGAGCATCTGACAGCCTGGAGCAGCGCCCACACCCCCAAGTGAGCAGGTGACAGCCTGGAGCAGTGCCCACACCCCCGGGCGAGCATCTGACAGCCTGGAGCAGCACCCACACCCCCAGGTGAGCATCTGACAGCCTGGGGCAGTGCCCACAGCCCCAGGTGAGCATCTGACAGCCTGGAGCAGCGTCCACACCCCCAGGTGAGCATCTGGCAGCCTGGAGCAGCACCCACACCCCCAGGTGAGCATCTGACAGCCTGGAGCAGCGCCCACACACTGAGGTGAGCATCTGACAGCCTGGGGCAGCACCCACACCCCCAGGTGAGCATCTGGCAACCTGGAACAGCATCTACAGCCCCAGGTGACCATCTGACAGCCTGAAGCAGCACCCACACCCCCAGGTGAGCATGTGACCACATGGAATGTCATCCTCACCTCCAGGTGAGCATCCGACAGCCTGGAACAGAATTCTCAAACCCCAGGTGAGGATCTGACAACCTGGAACAGAACCCCACTCTTCCAAGTGAGAATCTGACAGCATAAAACAGCACCCTGCACCCCCAGGTGAGCATCTGACAGCCTGAAACAGCACCCTCCACCTTCAGGTGAGAATATGACAGCCTGAAACAGCACCCCACACCCCAGGCAAAAATCTGACAGCATGGAACAAGACCACTGCTCCCAGGTGAGCATTTGACAACTTGGGAAAGCACCCTCCACCCACACGTGAGCATCTGACAGCCTGGAAACACCCCCACTGCTTCCAGGTGAACATCTGATAGCCTGGAACAGAACCCCAGGCCTCCAAGTAAGCATCTGAAAGCACGGAACAGCACTCTCACCCCCAGGGGAGCGTCTGACAACCTAGAACAGCACCTTCACCCCGAGGTGGGCATCTGGCAGCATAAAACAGCACCCCTACTGGCAGATGAGCATATGACAGCCTGGAACAGCACCCACACCCCCAGGTGAGCATCTCACAGCCTGCAGCAGCACCCACACCCCCAGGTGAGCATCCGACAGCCTGGAGCAGCACCCACACCCCCAGGCGAGCATCGGACATCGTGGAACAGCACCCCACACCCCCAGGTGAGCATCTGACAGCTTGGAACAGAACTCCACACCCACAGGTGAGCATCTGACAGCCTGGAGCAGCACCCCACACCCCCAGGGGAGCATCTGACAGTCTGGAACAGCACTCCACACCCCCAGGTGAGCATCTGACATCCTGGAACAGCACCCCACGCCCCCAGGTGAGCATCTGACAGCCTGGAACAGCACCCCACACCCCTAGATGAGCATCTGACAGCCTGGAGCAGAACCCCACACCCCCAGGTGAGCATTCGACAGCCTGGAACAGCACCCATACCCCCAGGCGAGCATCTGACAGCCTGGAGCAGCATGCACACCCCCAGGCGAGCATCTGACAGCCTGGAGCAGCGCCCACACCCCCAGGTGAGCATGTGACAGCCTGGAGCAGCGCCCACACCCCCGGGCGAGCATCTGACAGCCTGGAGCAGCACCCACACCCCCAGGTGAGCATCTGACAGCCTGGGGCGGCGCCCACAGCCCCAGGTGAGCATCTGACAGCCCGGAGCAGCGTCCACACCCCCAGGTGAGCATCTGGCAGCCTGGAGCAGCACCCACACCCCCAGGTGAGCATCTGACTGCCTGGAGCAGCACCCACACCCCCAGGTGAGCATCTGACAGCCTGGAGCAGCGCCCACACACCGAGGTGAGCATCTGACAGCCTGGAGCAGCGCCCACACCCCCAGGTGAGCATCTGACAGCGTGGAGCAGCGCCCACACCCCCAGGTGGGCATCTGACAGCCTGGAGCAGGCGCCCACAATCCCAGGTTAGCATCTGACAGCCTGGAGCAGCACCCACACCCCCAGTTGAGTAGCTGACATCCTGGAGCTGCACCCATACCCCCAGGTGAGATCTGACAGCCTGGGGCAGCACCCACACCCCCAGGTGAGCATCTGGCAACCTGGAACAGCATCTACAGCCCCAGGTGACCATCTGACAGCCTGAAGCAGCACCCACACCCCCAGGTGAGCATGTGACCACATGGAATGTCATCCTCACCTCCAGGTGAGCATCGGACAGCCTGGAACAGAATTCTCAAGCCCCAGGTGAGGATCTGACAACCTGGAACAGAACCCCACTCTTCCAGGTGAGAATCTGACAGCATAAAACAGCACCCTGCACCCCCAGGTGAGCATCTGACAGCCTGAAACAGCACCCTCCACCTTCAGGTGAGAATATGACAGCCTGAAACAGCACCCCGCACCCAGGCAAAAATCTGACAGCATGGAACAAGACTACTGCCCCCAGGTGAGCATTTGACAGCCTGGGAAAGCACCCTCTACCCACACGTGAGCATCTGACAGCCTGGAAACACCCCCACTGCTTCCAGGTGAACATCTGATAGCCTGGAACAGAACCCCAGGCCTCCCAGTAAGCATCTGAAAGCAAGGAACAGCACTCTCACCCCCAGGGGAGCATCTGACAACCTAGAACAGCACCCTCACCCCGAGGTGGGCATCTGGCAGCATAAAACAGCACCCCTACTGGCAGATGAGCATATGACAGCCTGGAACAGCACCCACACCCGCTGGCGAGAATCTGACAGCCTGGAGCAACACCCACACCCCCAGGTGAGCATCTGACAGCCTGGAGCAGCGCCCACACCCCCAGGTGAGCATCTTACAGCCTGGAGCAGCGCCCACACCCCCAGGTGAGCATCTGACAGCCTGGAGCAGCACCCACACTCCCAGGTGAGTATCTGACAGCCTGGAGTAGCACCCACACCCCCAGGTGAGCATCTGACAGCCTGGAACAGCATCCACTCCCCCAGGTGAGCATCTGACCACATTGAATGGCATCCTCACCTCCAGGTGAGCATCTGACAGCCTGGAACCGCACCCACACCCCCAGGCGAGCATCTGACAGCCTGGAGCAGCACCCACACCCCCAGGTGAGCATCTGACAGCCTGGAGCAGCACCCACACCCCCAGGGGAGCATCTGACCGCATGGAATGTCATCCTCACTTCCAGGTGAGCATCCGACAGCCTGGAGCAGCACCCACACCCCCAGGTGAGCATCTGACCGCATGGAATGGCATCCTCACCTCCAGGTGAGCATCCGACAGCCTGGAACAGAATTCTCCAACCACAGGTGAGGATCTGACAGCCTGGAACAGAACCCCACTCTTCCAGGTGAGAATCTGACGCATAAAACAGCACCCTGCAACCCCAGGTGAGCATCTGACAGTCTGGAACAGCATCCACACCCCCAGGCGAGCATCTGACTGTATGGAATGACATCCTCACATCCAGGTGAGCATCCGACAGCGTGGAACAGAATTCTCCAACCCCAGGTGAGGATCTGACTACCTGGAACAGAACCCCGCTCTTCCAGGTGAGAATATGACAGAATAAAGCAGCACCCTGCACCCCCAGTTGAGCATCTGACAGCCTGGGGCAGCACCCACACTCCCAGGTGAGCATCTGACAGCCTGGAGCAGCACCCACACCCCCAGGTGTGCATCTGACAGCCTGAAACAGCACCCTCCACCACCAGATGAGCATCTGACAACCAGAACCTGCACCACACACCCCAAGGTGGGCATCCGATGGCATGGAACAGCACCCCCACTCACAGGTGATGTGACTGCGTGGAACAGCACGTCCCCTCAGGTGAGCATCTGACAGCATAAAACAGCACCCCACAACCCCAGGTGATCATTTGCCAGCCAGGAACGGCAACCCACATCCCCAGGTAAGTGTCTGACAGCCTAGAGCGGCACCTGCACACTTAGGTAAGAATCTGAAAGCCTGGATCAACACTCGAACCTTCAGGTGAGCATCTGACAGCCTGGAGCAGCAGTGCCCACCCCTGGGTGAGGATGCTCACCTGAGGTTGGGAGTGCCATTCCAGGCTGCCAGATCCTCACCTGGGGATGGAAGGTGCCATTGTAGGTTTTTGGATGTTCGCATGGGGGTGAAGGGTGGTGTTCCGGGTTATCAGATGCTCACCTGGGGACGCGTGGAAAACCATGCCCACCACAAGGTGAGCATATGACAGCCCGGAACAACACCCTCCACCCCCAGGTGAGCATCTGACAGCCTGGAACAGAACCCCACAACTTCAAATAAGAATTTGATAAGTGGGGAAAAGCTCCCCGCCCTCAGGTGAGTGTCTGACAGCCTGGAACAGCACCCCACAACTGCAGGTGAGCATCTGATAGCCTGGATAGGCACTCCACACAGCCAGGTGAGCAGCTGAAAGCCTGGAATGGTACCCCACATGCAGGTGAGCATCCGACAGCCTGGAACAGCAGCTCACATCCCCAGGTAAGATTCCAACAGCATGGAACAAGACCACTGCCCCCAGGTGAGCATCTGGCAGCCTGGAAAAACAACCCCCTTCAGGTGAGCATCTGACAGCCTGGAACAGCACCCTCCACCTTCAGGTGAGAATATGACAGCCTGAAACAGCACCCCACACCCCAGGCAAAAATCTGACAGCATGGAACAAGACCACTGCCCCCAGGTGAGCATTTGACAGCCCGGGAAAGTACCCTCCATGCACAGGTGAGCATCTGACAGCCTGGAAACCCCCCCACTGCTTCCAGGTGAACATCTGATAGCCTGGAACAGAACCCCAGTTCTCCAAGTAAGGATCTGAAAGCACGGAACAGCACTCTCACCCCCAGGGGAGCATCTGACAACCTAGAACAGCACCCTCACCCCGAGGTGGGCATCTGGCAGCATAAAACAGCACCCCTACTGGCAGATGAGCATATGACAGCGTGGAACAGCACCCACGCACCCAGGTGAGCATCTGACAGCCTGGAACAGCACCCCACACCCCCAGGTGAGCATCTGACAGCCTGGAACAGCACCCACACCCCCAGGTGAGCATCTGACAGCCTGGAGCAGCACCCTACACCCCCAGGGGAGCATCTGACAGTCTGGAGCAGCACCCACACCCCCAGGTGAGCATCTGACATCCTGGAACAGCACCCCACGCCCCCAGGTGAGCACCTGACAGCCTGGAACAGCACCCCACACCCCCAGGTGAGCATCTGACAGCCTGGAACAGCACCCACACCCCCAGGTGAGCATCTGACAGCCTGGAGCAGCACCCCACACCTCCAGGGGAGCATCTGACATCCTGGAACAGCACCCCACACCCCCAGTGAGCATCTGACAACCTGGAGCAGCACCCCACACCTCCAGGGGAGCATCTGACATCCTGGAACAGCACCCCACACCTCCAGGGGGAGCATCTGACAGCCTGGAACAGCACCCACACCCCCAGGTGAGCATCTGACAGCCTGGAGCAGCACCCTACACCCCCAGGGGAGCATCTGACAGTCTGGAGCAGCACCCACACCCCCAGGTGAGCATCTGACAGCCTGGAGCAGCGCCCACACCCCCAGGTGAGCATCTGACAGCGTGGAGCAGCGCCCACACCCCCAGGTGGGCATCTGACAGCCTGGAGCAGGCGCCCACAATCCCAGGTTAGCATCTGACAGCCTGGAGCAGCACCCACACCCCCAGTTGAGTAGCTGACATCCTGGAGCTGCACCCATACCCCCAGGTGAGATCTGACAGCCTGGGGCAGCACCCACACCCCCAGGTGAGCATCTGGCAACCTGGAACAGCATCTACAGCCCCAGGTGACCATCTGACAGCCTGAAGCAGCACCCACACCCCCAGGTGAGCATGTGACCACATGGAATGTCATCCTCACCTCCAGGTGAGCATCGGACAGCCTGGAACAGAATTCTCAAGCCCCAGGTGAGGATCTGACAACCTGGAACAGAACCCCACTCTTCCAGGTGAGAATCTGACAGCATAAAACAGCACCCTGCACCCCCAGGTGAGCATCTGACAGCCTGAAACAGCACCCTCCACCTTCAGGTGAGAATATGACAGCCTGAAACAGCACCCCGCACCCAGGCAAAAATCTGACAGCATGGAACAAGACTACTGCCCCCAGGTGAGCATTTGACAGCCTGGGAAAGCACCCTCTACCCACACGTGAGCATCTGACAGCCTGGAAACCCCCCCCACTGCTTCCAGGTGAACATCTGATAGCCTGGAACAGAACCCCAGGCCTCCCAGTAAGCATCTGAAAGCAAGGAACAGCACTCTCACCCCCAGGGGAGCATCTGACAACCTAGAACAGCACCCTCACCCCGAGGTGGGCATCTGGCAGCATAAAACAGCACCCCTACTGGCAGATGAGCATATGACAGCCTGGAACAGCACCCACACCCGCTGGCGAGAATCTGACAGCCTGGAGCAACACCCACACCCCCAGGTGAGCATCTGACAGCCTGGAGCAGCGCCCACACCCCCAGGTGAGCATCTTACAGCCTGGAGCAGCGCCCACACCCCCAGGTGAGCATCTGACAGCCTGGAGCAGCACCCACACTCCCAGGTGAGTATCTGACAGCCTGGAGTAGCACCCACACCCCCAGGTGAGCATCTGACAGCCTGGAACAGCATCCACTCCCCCAGGTGAGCATCTGACCACATTGAATGGCATCCTCACCTCCAGGTGAGCATCTGACAGCCTGGAACCGCACCCACACCCCCAGGCGAGCATCTGACAGCCTGGAGCAGCACCCACACCCCCAGGTGAGCATCTGACAGCCTGGAGCAGCACCCACACCCCCAGGGGAGCATCTGACCGCATGGAATGTCATCCTCACTTCCAGGTGAGCATCCGACAGCCTGGAGCAGCACCCACACCCCCAGGTGAGCATCTGACCGCATGGAATGGCATCCTCACCTCCAGGTGAGCATCCGACAGCCTGGAACATAATTCTCCAACCCCAGGTGAGGATCTGACAACCTGGAACAGAACCCCACTCTTCCAGGTGAGAATCTGACACCATAAAACAGCACCCTGCACCCCCAGGTGAGCATCTGACAGCCTGGAACAGCATCCACACCCCCAGGTGAGCATCTGACCGCATGGAATGGCATCCTCACCTCCAGGTGAGCATCTGACAGCCTGGAACAGAATTCTCCAACCACAGGTGAGGATCTGACAGCCTGGAACAGAACCCCACTCTTCCAGGTGAGAATCTGACACATAAAACAGCACCCTGCAACCCCAGGTGAGCATCTGACAGTCTGGAACAGCATCCACACCCCCAGGCGAGCATCTGACAGCCTGGAGTAGCACGCACACCCCCAGGCGAGCATCTGACAGCCTGGAGCAGCACACACAACCCCAGGCGAGCATCTGACAGCCTGGAGCAGCGCCCACACCCCCAAGTGAGCAGGTGACAGCCTGGAGCAGTGCCCACACCCCCGGGCGAGCATCTGACAGCCTGGAGCAGCACCCACACCCCCAGGTGAGCATCTGACAGCCTGGGGCAGTGCCCACAGCCCCAGGTGAGCATCTGACAGCCCGGAGCAGCGTCCACACCCCCAGGTGAGCATCTGGCAGCCTGGAGCAGCACCCACACCCCCAGGTGAGCATCTGACAGCCTGGAGCAGCGCCCACACACTGAGGTGAGCATCTGACAGCCTGGGGCAGCACCCACACCCCCAGGTGAGCATCTGGCAACCTGGAACAGCATCTACAGCCCCAGGTGACCATCTGACAGCCTGAAGCAGCACCCACACCCCCAGGTGAGCATGTGACCACATGGAATGTCATCCTCACCTCCAGGTGAGCATCCGACAGCCTGGAACAGAATTCTCAAACCCCAGGTGAGGATCTGACAACCTGGAACAGAACCCCACTCTTCCAAGTGAGAATCTGACAGCATAAAACAGCACCCTGCACCCCCAGGTGAGCATCTGACAGCCTGAAACAGCACCCTCCACCTTCAGGTGAGAATATGACAGCCTGAAACAGCACCCCACACCCCAGGCAAAAATCTGACAGCATGGAACAAGACCACTGCTCCCAGGTGAGCATTTGACAACTTGGGAAAGCACCCTCCACCCACACGTGAGCATCTGACAGCCTGGAAACACCCCCACTGCTTCCAGGTGAACATCTGATAGCCTGGAACAGAACCCCAGGCCTCCAAGTAAGCATCTGAAAGCACGGAACAGCACTCTCACCCCCAGGGGAGCGTCTGACAACCTAGAACAGCACCTTCACCCCGAGGTGGGCATCTGGCAGCATAAAACAGCACCCCTACTGGCAGATGAGCATATGACAGCCTGGAACAGCACCCACACCCCCAGGTGAGCATCTCACAGCCTGCAGCAGCACCCACACCCCCAGGTGAGCATCCGACAGCCTGGAGCAGCACCCACACCCCCAGGCGAGCATCGGACATCGTGGAACAGCACCCCACACCCCCAGGTGAGCATCTGACAGCTTGGAACAGAACTCCACACCCACAGGTGAGCATCTGACAGCCTGGAGCAGCACCCCACACCCCCAGGGGAGCATCTGACAGTCTGGAACAGCACTCCACACCCCCAGGTGAGCATCTGACATCCTGGAACAGCACCCCACGCCCCCAGGTGAGCATCTGACAGCCTGGAACAGCACCCCACACCCCTAGATGAGCATCTGACAGCCTGGAGCAGAACCCCACACCCCCAGGTGAGCATTCGACAGCCTGGAACAGCACCCATACCCCCAGGCGAGCATCTGACAGCCTGGAGCAGCATGCACACCCCCAGGCGAGCATCTGACAGCCTGGAGCAGCACCCACACCCCCAGGCGAGCATCTGACAGCCTGGAGCAGCACGCACACCCCCAGGTGAGCCTCTGACAGCCTGGAGCAGCACCCACACCCCCAGGCGAGCATCTGACAGCCTGGAGCAGCACACACAACCCCAGGCGAGCATCTGACAGCCTGGAGCAGCGCCCACACCCCCAGGTGAGCATGTGACAGCCTGGAGCAGCGCCCACACCCCCGGGCGAGCATCTGACAGCCTGGAGCAGCACCCACACCCCCAGGTGAGCATCTGACAGCCTGGGGCGGCGCCCACAGCCCCAGGTGAGCATCTGACAGCCCGGAGCAGCGTCCACACCCCCAGGTGAGCATCTGGCAGCCTGGAGCAGCACCCACACCCCCAGGTGAGCATCTGACTGCCTGGAGCAGCACCCACACCCCCAGGTGAGCATCTGACAGCCTGGAGCAGCGCCCACACACCGAGGTGAGCATCTGACAGCCTGGAGCAGCGCCCACACCCCCAGGTGAGCATCTGACAGCGTGGAGCAGCGCCCACACCCCCAGGTGGGCATCTGACAGCCTGGAGCAGGCGCCCACAATCCCAGGTTAGCATCTGACAGCCTGGAGCAGCACCCACACCCCCAGTTGAGTAGCTGACATCCTGGAGCTGCACCCATACCCCCAGGTGAGATCTGACAGCCTGGGGCAGCACCCACACCCCCAGGTGAGCATCTGGCAACCTGGAACAGCATCTACAGCCCCAGGTGACCATCTGACAGCCTGAAGCAGCACCCACACCCCCAGGTGAGCATGTGACCACATGCAATGTCATCCTCACCTCCAGGTGAGCATCGGACAGCCTGGAACAGAATTCTCAAGCCCCAGGTGAGGATCTGACAACCTGGAACAGAACCCCACTCTTCCAGGTGAGAATCTGACAGCATAAAACAGCACCCTGCACCCGCAGGTGAGCATCTGACAGCCTGAAACAGCACCCTCCACCTTCAGGTGAGAATATGACAGCCTGAAACAGCACCCCGCACCCAGGCAAAAATCTGACAGCATGGAACAAGACTACTGCCCCCAGGTGAGCATTTGACAGCCTGGGAAAGCACCCTCTACCCACACGTGAGCATCTGACAGCCTGGAAACCCCCCCACTGCTTCCAGGTGAACATCTGATAGCCTGGAACAGAACCCCAGGCCTCCCAGTAAGCATCTGAAAGCAAGGAACAGCACTCTCACCCCCAGGGGAGCATCTGACAACCTAGAACAGCACCCTCACCCCGAGGTGGGCATCTGGCAGCATAAAACAGCACCCCTACTGGCAGATGAGCATATGACAGCCTGGAACAGCACCCACACCCGCTGGCGAGAATCTGACAGCCTGGAGCAACACCCACACCCCCAGGTGAGCATCTGACAGCCTGGAGCAGCGCCCACACCCCCAGGTGAGCATCTTACAGCCTGGAGCAGCGCCCACACCCCCAGGTGAGCATCTGACAGCCTGGAGCAGCACCCACACTCCCAGGTGAGTATCTGACAGCCTGGAGTAGCACCCACACCCCCAGGTGAGCATCTGACAGCCTGGAACAGCATCCACTCCCCCAGGTGAGCATCTGACCACATTGAATGGCATCCTCACCTCCAGGTGAGCATCTGACAGCCTGGAACGGCACCCACACCCCCAGGCGAGCATCTGACAGCCTGGAGCAGCACCCACACCCCCAGGTGAGCATCTGACAGCCTGGAGCAGCACCCACACCCCCAGGGGAGCATCTGACCGCATGGAATGTCATCCTCACTTCCAGGTGAGCATCCGACAGCCTGGAGCAGCACCCACACCCCCAGGTGAGCATCTGACCGCATGGAATGGCATCCTCACCTCCAGGTGAGCATCCGACAGCCTGGAACATAATTCTCCAACCCCAGGTGAGGATCTGACAACCTGGAACAGAACCCCACTCTTCCAGGTGAGAATCTGACACCATAAAACAGCACCCTGCACCCCCAGGTGAGCATCTGACAGCCTGGAACAGCATCCACACCCCCAGGTGAGCATCTGACCGCATGGAATGGCATCCTCACCTCCAGGTGAGCATCCGACAGCCTGGAACAGAATTCTCCAACCACAGGTGAGGATCTGACAGCCTGGAACAGAACCCCACTCTTCCAGGTGAGAATCTGACGCATAAAACAGCACCCTGCAACCCCAGGTGAGCATCTGACAGTCTGGAACAGCATCCACACCCCCAGGCGAGCATCTGACTGTATGGAATGACATCCTCACATCCAGGTGAGCATCCGACAGCCTGGAACAGAATTCTCCAACCCCAGGTGAGGATCTGACTACCTGGAACAGAACCCCGCTCTTCCAGGTGAGAATATGACAGAATAAAGCAGCACCCTGCACCCCCAGTTGAGCATCTGACAGCCTGGAACAGCACCCACACTCCCAGGTGAGCATCTGACAGCCTGGAGCAGTACCCACACCCCCAGGTGTGCATCTGACAGCCTGAAACAGCACCCTCCACCACCAGATGAGCATCTGACAACCAGAACCTGCACCACACACCCCAAGGTGGGCATCCGATGGCATGGGACAGCACCCCCACTCACAGGTGATGTGACTGCGTGGAACAGCACATCCCCTCAGGTGAGCATCTGACAGGATAAAACAGCACCCCACAACCCCAGGTGATCATTTGCCAGCCAGGAACGGCAACCCACATCCCCAGGTAAGTGTCTGACAGCCTAGAGCGGCACCTGCACACTTAGGTAAGAATCTGAAAGCCTGGATCAACACTCGAATCTTCAGGTGAGCATCTGACAGCCTGGAGCAGCAGTGCCCACCCCTGGGTGAGGATGCTCACCTGAGGTTGGGAGTGCCAGTCCAGGCTGCCAGATCCTCACCTGGGGATGGAAGGTGCCATTGTAGGTTTTTGGATGTTCACATGGGGGTTAAGGGTGGTGTTCCGGGTTATCAGATGCTCACCTGGGGACGCGTGGAAAACCATGCCCACCACAAGGTGAGCATATGACAGCCCGGAACAACACCCTCCACCCCCAGGTGAGCATCTGACAGCCTGGAACAGAACCCCACAACTTCAAATAAGAATTTGATAAGTGGGAAAAAGCTCCCCGCCCTCAGGTGAGTGTCTGACAGCCTGGAACAGCACCCCACAACTGCAGGTGAGCATCTGATAGCCTGGATAGGCACTCCACACAGCCAGGTGAGCAGCTGAAAGCCTGGAATGGTAACCCACATGCAGGTGAGCATCCGACAGCCTGGAACAGCAGCTCACATCCCCAGGTAAGATTCCAACAGCATGGAACAAGACCACTGCCCCCAGGTGAGCATCTGGCAGCCTGGTAAAACAACCCCCTTCAGGTGAGCATCCGACAGCCTGGAACAGCAGCTCACATCCCCAGGTAAGATTCCAACAGCATGGAACAAGACCACTGCCCCCAGGTGAGCATCTGGCAGCCTGGAAAAACAACCCCCTTCAGGTGAGCATCTGACAGCCTGGAACAGCACCCTCCACCTTCAGGTGAGAATATGACAGCCTGAAACAGCACCCCACACCCCAGGCAAAAATCTGACAGCATGGAACAAGACCACTGCCCCCAGGTGAGCATTTGACAGCCCGGGAAAGTACCCTCCATGCACAGGTGAGCATCTGACAGCCTGGAAACCCCCCCACTGCTTCCAGGTGAACATCTGATAGCCTGGAACAGAACCCCAGTTCTCCAAGTAAGGATCTGAAAGCACGGAACAGCACTCTCACCCCCAGGGGAGCATCTGACAACCTAGAACAGCACCCTCACCCCGAGGTGGGCATCTGGCAGCATAAAACAGCACCCCTACTGGCAGATGAGCATATGACAGCGTGGAACAGCACCCACGCACCCAGGTGAGCATCTGACAGCCTGGAACAGCACCCCACACCCCCAGGTGAGCATCTGACAGCCTGGAACAGCACCCACACCCCCAGGTGAGCATCTGACAGCCTGGAGCAGCACCCTACACCCCCAGGGGAGCATCTGACAGTCTGGAGCAGCACCCACACCCCCAGGTGAGCATCTGACATCCTGGAACAGCACCCCACGCCCCCAGGTGAGCACCTGACAGCCTGGAACAGCACCCCACACCCCCAGGTGAGCATCTGACAGCCTGGAACAGCACCCACACCCCCAGGTGAGCATCTGACAGCCTGGAGCAGCACCCCACACCTCCAGGGGAGCATCTGACATCCTGGAACAGCACCCCACACCCCCAGTGAGCATCTGACAACCTGGAGCAGCACCCCACACCTCCAGGGGAGCATCTGACATCCTGGAACAGCACCCCACACCTCCAGGGGGAGCATCTGACAGCCTGGAGCAACACCCCACACCTCCAGGGGAGCATCTGACAGCCTGGAACAGCACTCCACACCTCCAGGGGAGCATCTGACAGCATGGACAAGTCCTGCCCCCCGGTTAGTGTCTGAATTCCTGGAATATGTGCTGTCCTTTTCCACCAGGTGAGCATATGACCGCCTGGAAGAAGCACCCCTGCATGTTACCTGTGGTGAAACCAAGGCTGAGAGACAGGACAGGGTTGTTGGCCAGGAGGAGGGGCCTGCTGCTGAGCCCCAGCGCTGAGTCAGAGCTCACAGCCTTGAGCCTGTGCCATGCCTCCTCTCAGGGTGAAGAGGCAGAGGGCATGGGGGGGGGGGCGCAGCATCAGCCCATATCCTGGATGCACAAATTCACAGGCATGACGGGGCGAGGGCCTGCTGCTCCTACCGTCACTCCCACATGCTAGCCCTCCAACGTCCTGGCTGACTTTCCCTGCCTCTGGTCCTGCGGCCCTGGACACAGCGGGAGGAGGGGACAGGATCCTGTGGTACCCCTTGGAGGAGGTTCCGGCACCTGTAGGCAGTTTCCAAGGATCCCTTGTGGCCACATCCAGCTGTTAAATGGGCATGTCCCTGGCAGCCACAGATGTCTGTCCAGTGCAGGAAAGTCTGTCCAGTGCAGGAAAGGGCAGGCAGAGAGCTGGCTCCCAGCCCCAAATGCATGTCTCCCTCCCTGGGGCCCAGGCTGGCACAGAAGTCAGGCCTGCCAGTGGGAAACTTGGGGGAAACTTGGTGCCCTGGTCCAGCAGCCTGCCCTGCAGCAGCAAGCATGGCCTCTGGAGGCTGTCGTCCTCCTGGCCTCCAGGATTGCTTTTCCTTTCTTCCTAGAACTCCAGCCCTTAAGAAAATCAGAAGCCCTGGCAGGCACATTGCCTCTGTGCTGTGCTTTTACCCAGCGAAGCATCAGGGCAGACAGCCAATTTCAACACTGCTCTTGGCTGGGAAGTGCCCTCATCTCTGGCAGCCCCCACAGAGAAAGTGCAGGGCCCCGGGGCTGTGGCTGCCTCAGGGCAGGTCTCCCTTGTGACAGCCTCTTGTCATGGGCCTGGGAGTGGACCCCTCCCATCCCTGCCGTGCATCCTGTTGAGTAGACAGCTCAGGCTAGTACCCAAGAGGGTGGCCAGCAGATCACAGGGGATGTCCCTTTTGTCTTAGCTGTTTATGGGCTGGAGGAACCACTGTTCAGCCACATCTCCTCTCCTGCCCCTCCTGCATTCACCCGAGGTTGATGGGAGCTCTGTGGGGGGAGACAGGCAGGGGAGGGGCCAGGCAACACCTGGGCATATCCCCAGGGTGCCTCCTCTGATCCCCAGGAGGGGCAGCACCCACCCTCTTCTTTTTCCAATTTGTTTTTATTGTGGTTAAATATACATAACGTAAAATTTACCATCTTAATTAATTATCTTTATGTGTACGGTGTGGTGGCATTAAATACATTCATCATGTTGTGTGGCCGTCACCACCATCCCTTTCCAGAACTAGCTCATCTTCCCAAACTGAAACTCTGTCCCCGTTAAATACTAACTCTCCGTTCCCCAGGCACTCTCTGCCCCCAACCCCAGGCACCCACCATTCTGCTTTCTGTCTCTGTGATTCGATGACTCTAGGGACTTCATATAAGGGAAATCACACAGTGTTTGTCCTTTTGTGGTGGCTGCTTATTTTGCTGAGCACAATGTCCTTGAGGTTCATCCATGTTGTAGTGTGTACCAGGAATCCCTTCCTTTTTAATGTTGAATAATTCCCCATTGTATGGATGGATCATGTTTGGCTTATCCACCCATCCATCGGTGGACACCTGGGTGCCTTCCACCTCCAAGCTCTTGTGAACAATGATGCTATCTATGAATATGGTGTACAAATGTCTCTAAAAGACCCTACTTCCATTTATTTTGGATGTAGACCCAGATGTGGAATTGCTTGATCATATGGTAGTTCTATTTTTTTTTTCTTTTTTTTGGAGCTGGAGTCTCGCTCTGTCGCCCAGGCTGGAGTGCAGTGGCAGGATCTCAGCTCACTGCAACTCCCACCTCCCGGGTTCAAGCGATTCTCCTGCCTCAGCCTCCCGAGTAGCTGGGATTACAGGCGCGTGCCACCACGCCTGGCTAACTTTTTGTATTTTTAGTAGAGACCAGATTTCACCGTGTTAGCCAGGATGGTCTTGATCTCCTGACCTCGTGATCCACCCTCCTTGGCCTCTCAAAGTGCTGGGATTACAGGCGTGAGCCACCACACCCAGCTGGTAGTTCTATTTTTAGCTTTTTGGGAAATGGCCATCCTGTTTTCCTTAGCTGCTGCACCATTTTACCTTCCCACCAATAGTGCAGAAGGTTCCAGTTTCTTCACATCCTCACCAGTGCTTGTTATTTTCTTTTTAAAAACTTCATAGTAGCCATCCTGACAGGTGTGAGGCATATCTCGTTGTTTTGATTTGTGCTTCCCTGATGATTGGTGATGTCCAGCATCTTTTCATGTGCTTATTGTCCATTTGTATATCTTTTTTTGAGAAATGTCTGTTTAAGTCCTTTGCTCATTTTTTTTGAATGACACAGTGAAACCTCGTCTCTATAAAAATACAAAAAATTAGCCAGGCGTGGGGTCGCCCACCTGTAATCCCAGCTACTCGGGAGGCTGAGGCAGGAGAATCGCTTGAACCCCGGAAGCGGAAGTTGCAGTGAGCTGAGATCCCGCCACTGCACTCCAGCCTGGGTGACAGAGCGAGACTTCAGCTCCAAAAATTGAATTGGGTTTTTGGCTTTGTTGTTGTTGAGTTTTAGGACTTCTCTGTGTATTCTGGGTAATAATTCCTTATCAGATATGTGACTTGCAAATATTGTGGTTTTCTTCCATCCTGTCAGTTGCCTTTTTACTCTATTATAATAGTGTCCTTTGGTGCACAAAAAATTTAATTTTCATGAAATCCAACTTTATTTTTTCTTTTGCTGCCTGTGCCTTTGTTGTTGTAGCCCAGAAGTCATTGTCAAATCCAGTGTCGTGAAGCTTCTCCCCTGTGCTTACTTCTAAGAATTTTATAGTTTTAGGTCTTTGATCCATTTTGAATTAATTTTTGTATGTAGTGTTAGGAAAGAGTCCAACTTCATTCTTTTGCATAGTTTTCCCTGCAACATTTGTTGAAAAGACTGTCCCTTCCCCATTGAATGGTCTTGGTCAAATCATTTGACCATCTATGGGAGGGTTCATTTCTGGACTCTCTATTCTGTTTCATTGGTCTCTGTGTCTGTTTTTGTGCCATACCACACTATTTTGATCACTGTAGCTTTGTAGTAAGTTTTGAAATCAGGAAGTGTGAGTCCTCCAGCTTGCTGGTTCTTTTTCAGGGTTGTTTTGGCTGTTTGGGGTCCCCTGAGATTCCACAGGAATTTCAGAATTTAGCTTTTCTACTTCTGTAAAAAACATTATTGAGATTTTGACAGAGATTGCATTGAATCTGTAGATCACTTTGGGTAATACTGACGTCTTACCAACATGAAGTCTTCTAATACATGAACATGGAATGTGTTTCCATTTGTTTATGTCTTATTTAATTTATTTCAGCAATGTTTTATAGTTTTCATTGTACAAATCTTTCACCTCTTTGGTTAATTCCTAAGTATTTTATTCTTTTTAATTCTATTGTAGATGGAATTACAGTTGACTCTTGAACACAGGTTAAAATTATGTGGGTCCCCTTATATGTGAATTTTTTTCAATAAATACAGCCAGCCTTTCATATTGGTGGGTTCCGAATCCACAGCCAAATGCAGATCAGTTCTTGGGATGTGCAACCCTCGTACACAGAGGGCCAACTTTTCATATCTAGGGGTTGGGGGTTCCACAGGGCTGACTGTAGGACTTCAGTATGTGGGGATTTCAGTATCTGAGGGTTGTCCTGGAACCAATCCCATGTGTATACCAAGGGGTGACTGTATTTTCTTAATTCCCTTTTTAGATTGTTCATTATTAATGTATAAAAATGCAACTGATTTTTGTGTTGCCTTCGTATCCTGCTACTTTGCTGAATTCATTTATTAGTTCTAACAATTTTTTTTTGTGTGTGGAATCTTTAGGGATTTCTACATATAAGATCTGTGAACAGAGATAATTTTACTTCTTTCAAATTTGGATGCTTGGTAATTTTTTTCTTGCCTAGTTATTCTGGCTATAACTTCCAGTGCAATGTTGAGTAGAAGTGCAAAAGCAATCATCCTTGCCTTGTTCCTGATCTTAGAGGAAAAACTTTTCTTTTTCATCATTGAGTATGATGTTTGCTGTGGGTTTTTCATATATGGATTTTATATTGAGGCAGTTTCCTTCTATTCCTAGTTTGTTGAGTATTCTTATCATAAAAGGGTGCTGAATTTTGTCAAATGCTTTTCTGCATCAGTTGAGATGATCATTTTTTCCCTTTCATTCTGTTAATGTGGTACATCACATAAATTGACATTTGTATGTTGAACCATCCTTGCATTCTAGCAATAAATCTCACTTGGTCACGTGTGTCATCATTTTAACAAATTGCTGAATTTGTTTTGTTAGTATTTTGTTGAGGATTTTTGCCTCAATATTCATACGGGATAATGGTCTGTAGTTTTCTTGTAGTGTCTTTGGCTATGGTATCAGGGTAATGCTGGCCTCATAGAATGAGTCTGAGGAAGTGTTCCTTCCTCTTTGATTTTTTGGAAAAGTTTGAGGATTCGTGTTAGTTCTTTAAATATTTGGTAGAATTCACCAGTGAAGCCATCAGGTCCTGGCCTTTTCTTTGTTGGGAGATTTTTGATTACTGACTCAATCTTTTTACTAGTTATAGGTCTATTCAGATCTTCTATTTCTTCATGATTTAGTCTTGGTAGGTTTTGTGTTTCTAGGGATTTGTCCATTTCACCTAGATTAACTGATTTGTTGGTTTACAATTGTTCCTATTACTATCTTATAATTATTTTTATTTCTGTAGAATTGGTAATAACCTGATTTTCATTTCTGATTGTCATGATTTGAATTTTCTCTTTCTTAGTCCACCTGGCAAAAGGTTTGTCAAATTTTGTCTTTTCAAGGACAAACTTTTGTTTTCATTGATTTTCTCTATTTCTTCTCTATCCTATGTTTTATTGATCTCTGCTGTAATCTTTTTCTCTCTCTCTTTCTTTCTCTTTCTGTTCATGTGTTCTTTTTCTAGTTTCTTAAGTTGTAAAGTTAGATTGTTGATTTGAGATCTTTCTTGTTTTTTAATGGAAGCATTTACAGCTATACATTTCCCCCTCAGGATTGCTTTCCCTGTGTCTCATAATTTGGGGTGTGTTGTTTTCATTTTCACTTGTCTCTAAGCATTGTCTAACTTCTCGAAGTGTGATTTCTTCTGTGATCCATTGGTTGTTTAGCTCCCTCCTCCTTTTACAGAGGAGGAAACTGAGGCCTGGGGAGGTGAAGTGATTCGGCTGCGGTTGCTTAGCTGGACCCAACTCTTCTGGGCTCCAGGGACAGTGCTCAGGGCAGCAGGCCTGGGCTGAGCACACAGGTCCAGTGTGAGTCCCTCAGAGTCAGACCACATAGAATGCAGTGCAGTTGCAAGCAAGGAATGCTCATAAACAAACAGAACAGAAACCATCTTCCAGCACACAGGCCTCCCCCAGCTGATTGGGATCTGTCTTCTTGCCATTGCCCCTCTCCCAACTTTTATTTTAAATTGGAGCAGTTCCTGCAGAAGAAAGTCTTAAATGCATAGATACCGAACTTAAAGAGCAGGTAAATGAAGCTCAGATCAGGGTCCGGGGGCTGCATCCCTGCACCTGTCTGTGGCAGACATGGCTGGCCGAGGCCAGCACTTACTCCCTCTGTGCATGTCCTCTAAACCCCTCTCAACACCGGGGGCCAGGCAGCCTCACCAATGCAGCTGAGGGAACATCTCCTGGCCAACAACCCCAGAGGGACCCCTGCATGCACTGAGCATTATCTAAGCTGGGGAGGACCCCTAGTACCTCTGAAGGCTCGCACATCTATCCACACAGACTGAGGCTGGGAGGATGAAAGGGCAGGACTCCCAGAAACTGGGTTTGTGGGGACCCGGCTCCCATGAGCCGCTGTACAGGTGGGGATGGGAACATGGGTTTTGATGGGCATCTCACTGCTCAGGATGGCCTACCCGGCTCCCTCTCTCCTTGGGGTGGAGGAAGGCAGCTCCCTGGGTCCCCCACCCGTGCTTGCCCAGGCCCAGGTCAGGAGTGGGGCGGCACCTGCAGCTGGTCTAGGGCCAGGTGCACCAACGCCCGTCCACACAGTGCCTGCACGTTCCCCGGCTCAGCCCGCAGCACTGTGTTGAAGTCGAACATGGCCGTCTTCTTCTGGCCCAGGAACCCATAGCAGCGGGCTCGGGCAAGGAGGGACTCACTTGCCTGGCTTCCTGCAGGAAGACGGCATGGGGTCAGGATGAGCCTATGCTGGGTCCCTTCCCCAGCATCTATCCTGCCCAGCCCGGGGAGGGCAGAGGGTGCATGAGCTTCAGGGCCTACCTTGGGGAGCTCACAGGCCACTGGGCACCAAGACAGACAGAGACAGGGTGGACTTGGGGGCATTGGCTGCAGGGCAAGAGGAGCTCAGCCAGGACTGGGGACAGCTGGGGGGCTGCCGTGAGGAGGGGGCACTGCAGCTGCCTCTGAGGCCAGGCGAGGGCAGGGGGATCAGGGTAGCACTACCATCAAGACGCGGAGACCGGTAGTGGCCCCGAACGGCTGAGCGCACTGATATTTACTGCATACAAGACGAGGGGGGCAGGGTAAGGAGGGTGAATCTTCTAAGTGATTGACAAGGTGAAGCAAGTCACGTGATCAAAGGACAGTGGGCCCTTCCCTCTTGGGCAGCTGAAGCAGAGATAGAAGGTGGCATACGTCAGCGTTTTCTTCTATGAACTTATAAGATCAAAGCCTTTAAGACTTTCACTATTCCTTCTACCGCTATCTACTACAAACTTCAAAGAGGAACCAGGAGTATGGGAGGAACATGAAAGTGGACAAGGAACGTGACCATTGAAGCACCACAGGGAGGGGTTTAGACCTCTGGATGACTGTGGGCAGGCCTGGATGATATCCAGCCTTCCATAAGAAGCTGGTGGAGCAGAGTGTTCCCTGACTCCTCCAAGTAAAGGAGACTCCCTTTCCCGGTCTGCTCAGTAATGGGTGCCTTCCCAGACACTGGTGTTACCACTTGACCAAGGGGCCCTCAAGCAGCCCTTATGCGGGTGTGACAGAGGGCTCACCTCTTGCCTTCTATTCACTTCTCACAATGTCCCTTCAGCACCTGACCCTACACCCACTGGTTATTACTAGATTATGTTAGTAATGCAACAAAAAGTAATATTAAAAGCTAATGATTAATAATGATTAATAATTGTTCATTATCTCTATATCTAATTTGTATCATGACTATTCTTATTCTATTTTCTTTATTATACTGAAACAGTTTGTGCCTTCAGTCTCTTGCCTCGGCACCTAGGTAATCTTTTGCCCACAACCCCTCGCCAAAGAGGCTGTCATTACTGTGCCCCTTCTGGGTGTTGTTCTGTGACGGACATGGGACAACATGCCAGGCTGCTCTGGGCCACTCTGGGCCGCTCTGGGCTGCTCTGGGCCGCTCTGGGCCGCTCTGGGCTGCATGCCTTCCTGCCGACGTGTGCAGGGCATGCTCTCTGTGCCAGGTACTGTCCCAAAATGAGCCCTCTGAATCCCCACTTCCACCCGACATGGGCAACGCTGCCATCCCCCTTTGGGAGAGGAGGGTGAGGGGTGCTCACTAAGTGCATGGCCAGGTTCCACGTGGCAGCCTGATCTAGGTCCAGGCTTGGGAGAGGAGGATGAGGGGTGCTTACTAAGTGCATGGCCGGGTTCCACGTGGCAGCCTGATCTAGGTCCAGGCTCTCACACTCCCTGTACCCCAGGAGATCCCTGCGAGTCCTGGGAAACATCGCCTTCCCTCCAGACACCTGGCCCCCCAACCCCAGAAACAGCACTGACTCCAGGAAGCAGGCAGCACCCCCGTGCTGGGTGTCCCAGGGTGGGGAGGCCAGGCGTGCATAGGAGGAGCCTGTCACTATTTCTAGGAAGGGCTGAGGGGAGCAGGGACCTCGCCTCCTTGTCATTAGCTAGGAAAGGGGCCCTTCTCCCCTCAGGACTGGGGGTGCTGGGACGGCAGCTCAGGCACCAGGCAGGGCACAGCTCAGGTCCCAGCTCAGGCCCCAGGTCTCAGAGCCTGGTCTCAGGCCTTGGTGCACCCACCTTGAAGGTGAAATGCCCTCAGCGAGTGGCCCTTGCCCTGTCCAACCCGTGGGTGTTCCTGAGGCCCCTGCACCTGGGGAGCATGCGTGTCCCCACCAACCAGCATGGCAGAGACTCCCCATGTCCCCTGTGCCTGGCACAAGACTGGGCCCTGGGGGCAGGTGGGCAGCTCCTACCTGCGGCAAAGATGGCCAGAGACAGGTAGGCGATGGCCTCCTTGGTGTGAACCCTGCCGTCGGCCCCGCCTGGCCGTGCCCGCAGGATGGCCAGGGCCCTGGCGTGGCAGTGGCCTTGAAGCAGCTGCCGGTCCTCGTGGCAGAAGACGTCCAGGGTGGGCTGGAGGCAGGCGGTGTCACCAGACTGGACCAGCTTCTTCACCAACTGCAAGGGTGCCACAGTCACTGCCCATGCCCTTGGGACCGATGCCCTGGAGCCCACCCTGTACTGACGCCCCTGGCCATCCCCCACCCCACCCTCACTGCCCCAGGGTCCACCTGGTGCCAACGCTCCCAGTCCCACCCTTGCTGCCCCACGGCTCACCCAGTTCCAACGCCCCTGGCAATTCCTCACCCCACCCTCTCTGTGCCAGGGTCCGCCCTGTGCCATCACCCCGATCCTCCCCTACTGCCTCGCTGCCTCCACCAGCCCCTGGCTGTGTGTCCATGAGCCTGGGAGCTTCTGCCTGTCTGAGCACTAGGAGGTTGGCCGTGTGTTGCGATGTGGCCATTTGAGCCTTTGGGGGCGTTTTGTCTCCCCATAGGTGGGGGTCCCACAGCGGCCAGGGACTGTGTGTCCCCACCTTGGTGCAGAGGAGTAGGTAGGGAGGGGAGTCGTGAGCCCGCTCTGGGCTGCAGTCTGAGCCGCATCTGTCTGCTGATGGCATTGGTGGGCTGGGACTCTCAGGGTTCCCGAGCCTAGGACTTCTCCATCCCATGGAGGTGGAGACTCCGCCCCAGTGGGCCCACTGGAGCAAGGTCCAAATGAGAAGCAGAGGAAGGGGCTTTTAGGTCATGAAGGGTCAACAGGCGCCAGGGAGTCCTTCAGACGACGCGGAGCAAAAGCCCAGCACGGCCAAGTAGGACCAGGTCGCTGGGCGAGGGGAGACCTCCACCCCACAACGTCCCCTCTCCGCGACTCCATCCGAAGGAGGCCCAATGCTGCCCCCTGCTGGCTGCTGGTGGGCACACGGGTTCCCCAAGCTGAGCAAGAGGATGCAGGTTCAGGGCATCCGAACCTGGGCAGGGCAAGGAGATCAGGACCCAAACCGGGCCCCAGGGGGAGGAAGACGCGAGAAGGCCCTCACCCCAGGCCCCAAGGCCTGAATCCCACCAGAGTGTAACCTTTAGACCCCAGTTCAAACAGGAACCCGGGATAGCACCTGAGGCAGGTAAGGGTCTGCCTTTCCTGGGAGCAGGGGGTCTTGGAGGCAGGAGGGAAGGTCCCCTCTGCTACCCACCCCAAGGCAGGGTTGCATCCAAGCCTGGTTTATGTGAGAGACTTGGAGAGAAGCTCGGCCTGCAGTCGGTTCCTGGCCCTTATGCTTCGTAACCACAGTGGAAGCAAGTACGACAAAGCAGCTACGCATGCAGGGAAACTGCCGGCCCCGGGGACCTGCCCCAGCCGATTTCCATGACAACCCATGGGACCAGGACCCAGATAAGGAGACTGAGGGTCAGGTAGGTGAGGGCCTGCAGCAGGTGCAGAGCTGGGGCTGAATGCAGTCGCCTGGTCCAAAGCCCAGACTGTGGGGTCCAGCGCCAGGGCCACGGGAGGCCTGTGCCCTCTTCCCAGCTGGGCCCATTTCCACCTGCCCTCTGTCACCCCCCAGGCCTCCTCACCTGGTTGGCGTCATAGAAGAAGCCCCTCCTCAGCTGCAGCAGGGCCAGTCGTGCCAGCACAGGGGCTGCCTGGGGCCTCCGGGATAGGGCCACCAGCAGGGCCTTGTGGGTCTCCTCCAGGCGGCCCAGGCGGTACAGGGCATCAGCCGCCAGGAGGCGAGAGGCCTCGTCCTCTGAATCCAGCTCCATCAGCAGTGTGGCCAGCTGGTGCACGCCGCAGGCGACCCTGTGTGGAGATCAGCTCAGGGGGGCATGCCCCTTTTGACAACCCCTCCACCTGCCCAGGTGATTGGGCAGTGGGGAAATCCCGTCTCCATGTACCTGGCCTGGGCAGCTCCCTCCGGAGGGACCCTCACGCCACACCATCCCCAGAAGCCAAAGGTGCCCTTCCTAGCATGCGGCCCTCACGCTCTCCCTTGCCCTTCTCCTACCCTGTGGGAGGTGGGATTGTGGCGGTATAGACAGGCAGAGGCAGGGCTGACCCTGTGTGGACCCTGCCTCAGTTTCCTTTTCTGCAAAAACACAGACGAACAATTTGGCCTTGCTGGGCTCAGGGGTGTGCCTATAGGCAGAACAAGAAAACACATGGCTGCACCTGGCATGTTCCTGTGCCCATGTGGGAATGTTACTGAGTGCTCACTGGGAAATGGGGCCAGATCCTCAAATTTGACAATTTCCAGAGAACAAATATAAATGCCATCACATAATGAAAGTTTCTTACCAGCAGCAAATCAAAGCCACGCAAATTAAACACCCAGAAGGCAGAGGAACTCTGTGTGTTTTGTGTGCGTTATGTACATGTTGTGTGTTGTGTGTGTGTTATGTACATGTTGTGTGTTGTATGTGTGTTATGTACATGTGTGTTGTGTGTGGTGTGTGTGTTGTATGTGTGGTGTGTATGGTGTGTGTCTGGTGTGTTGTGTGTGTGTTATGTATGTGTTGTGCGTGTGTGTGTTGTGTGTGTGCCTTGGGGTGGACGCTGACATCAATGATGCCCCTCCAAGAACCGCCCCCACCCCCCGGACTCAGTGCTTTTAACTTTGCTGAAACCCCTTCCTGCCACCTCCCAGCAATTACACGAGGGAAGTCAAAGCAGCTAGGGATTCACCCACTGGGCTTTGGGCTGGCAAATAATTTGCAAAATGAGCATCAAGGGTGAGTGGGGGATGGGCGGTGGCCAGATTGTGGTGGGAGGAGGGCAGCTCCTGAAGTCAAGGATCCTACAAGTGGCGGCGCTTCCTGACCCGGGAACTGCATGCCTGTCTCCGTCTCATGGAGAGAACATCCTGGAGACAGGACATTACCCACGAGGGATTACAGCTAAGAACAAAGGCCAGGCGCGGTGGCTCACCTGGAATCCCAGCACTTTGGGAGGCCCGGGTGGGAGGATCACTTGAGGTCAGGAGTTCGAGACCAGCCTGGCCACCATGGTGAAACCCCATGCCACTAAAAATATAAAGATTAGCTGGGCGTGGTGATCCCAGCTACTTGGGACGCTGAGGCAGAAGAATGGCCTGAACCCAGGAGGCGGAGGTTGCAGCAAGCCAAGATTGCGCCATTGCACTCCAGCCTGGGCGGCAGAGTAAGACTCCATCTCAAAGAACAAAAAACAAAACAAAACAAAACAAACCAACCCCAGGACTGCTGGAAGGAGTAGTGGCAGGGGCGCAGGTCGGGGCGGTGCTGCCGGAAACACATTTAGCCACAAAGGGAATCGTCATGACCTATTGAGTAAGAAAATTAGCATATGAACAGCATGTCCAGCACAGACTCGGTTTGGTGAGCTATTTTACATGCACCAAACGAAAGGCCTGGAAGGAAATGTGAGCCGCGGATTTCCATTTCCGGACTGCGGCCCGGTCGATGGAAGCAGCGGAGCTAGACCTGCCTCGGGTGCTTTGGGAAGTCACCAGCCACTGCCTCCGTTCATTCCTTTGTAAAATAGGAGGAAACACATCCGTCGCTACCTCGAAGGAGACCCGCAGGAAGCAGCGGCCCCAGCGTGCCCGGGCGGGTCCTCACCCCTCCTGCGTGGTGGGGCCGCCCGTCTCTGCGGCCTCCCTCCGGCCCTGCGCTCTGGACGGCCCGGCGCGTGGAGATCGCTGCAGCATCCCACGGGCCTCCTCCCGCAGCACCACCAGCAGCAGCCCCCGCTGGTTCCAGGGCACGTAGGCCTTGGCGGCCAGCAGCGCCTCCTCGGGCCGCAGCCTGCAGGCGGTGACATAGTCCAGCGTGCCCAGGAACGCGCTGCCCGCCAGCACCCGCAGCAGTCCCCGGCCGCACAGCGCGCGCACACAGCCCCCCGGGTGCGGCGCCCCCTGCTCCACTACCGTCTGGAAGTCCTCCATGGCGCGCCGCGAGTCCCCGGCGTGCAGCGCGCAGAAGCCGCGCAGAGCCAGGAGAGGTGCGCGGTCCCCTGCACGGTCCCCCGCAGGGTCCTCAGGGCGTGCGGGCCGCAGCAGGCGCTCGCACATGGCCCGGGCGCCCGCCGCGTCCCCTGCCAGCAGCAGGCACTCGGCGAGGCGGGCTCCCAGCGCGGGTCGCGCCCCGGCAGGCGCCAGGCGAAGCAGGACGCGGAGCGCGCGGGTTACCGGGGCCAGCAGCTCGCGGCCCGCATCCTCGCGGAGCTCAGGGTGGTTCCGCACGGCTTCCTGGAAGCGGGCGAAGCCCACGTCCGCGGCCTCCTGCGCCTGAGCCCGGACGCGCTCCTGGTCCTGGACAGAGAACACGGCCTGGAACTGCCTCCGCGCCCCAGAGGGGCTCTCGCGGAAGGCCTCCTGCAGGTTCCAAAACACGTCCTGGGCCCGGCCGTCCAGGAAGAAGGCCGAGGCCGCGCGGGTGACCAGCAGGGCGGCTCGGCGCTCACCTGCGGAGAGAAACAGAGGCGTGGGTTCTGCCTGGGGGGCCGACTCCCCGGGGGTGCCACCTGCAAGTCCCCACCAGGTCCAGGGCTTGGACTCAGGAGACTGTGAGTCCTCCTGCCCGAGGCATCTCCCTCCAGTCTCCAGGTGGCCCTGGGTATGGCACCGCCAGGACACCAGCTGGCAGGAGGCCCGACGCCCATGAGCGACGGGGCAGGTTGAGAACCGTGCTGGGCAAGCGGCGAGGGGGCAGCCGCCCGGCCTGCCAGCGACACTGTGCTCTCAGGGTGGGTTCAGAGTCACTCCCACCGCTCAGTGCAAACCAAATTCAGTTACAACGCCTTTCCCTTGCCTGACATTTAAATAATGGGTTTTAGGATTGAGTTTCCTCCTCTGGGAATCAGTGCCCCTCCACTCCCAGGGCAGAGCTGAAGCTCCAACTCTATGACCTTTGCAGTGGCCATTTATTCCTGGGCGCCTTTGTTTCTTGCCTTCTTTGGGCCAAGTGGGGACCCAGCCCTTCCCTCTCTGTAGCAGAGCTCTTCTCTCAGGTCTAGGACTGGAGGGGCATGCCCTGCTGCTTACTGAGGGTGGACCTGGGCATTTACGGAGTCTCCTGCGTCTGTTCCCTGGTCTGCACTATAATGGGTTATAATGATCCACGCTCGCAGGGGGTGAGGATTAAACGGATCTACCTACATCCAGTGCCTGGAAGGGGCCTGGTGCATCGTGTGAGTCAGTGAGGTCAGGGGCAGCATCCCCACCCCCACTCCCCCAGCACCCTCCCCGCGCACCTGCCCCCCACCCCAGTGTGTCTGAGCAAACGTGAATGGGGCTTTCTGACTGGTAAGGGAAGTGTAGCTGCCCCATCCCAAAAAGGGCCCCAGGCAGGGTGCACAGGCCACTGGGAGAGGCGGGGATACTCCGTG